>NC_000001.11:210608829-210760344 GCF_000001405.40 Homo sapiens | reverse complement strand
AGTCTGTTCTTAGTCTGATGGTTTTCACACTAATACTATGAAAGGGTCATATTATAGTATTACCCTTTATAGGTAATATGATCCTTTTTATCTAGCTGCCTTTAAGATTTTTTTTCTTTCACATTGACCTTGGATAGTCTGATGACTATGTGCCTTGGAGATGGTTGTCTTGTATAGCAGCAGTCCTCAACCTTTTTGGTACCAGGGACCAGTTTTATGGAAGACAATTTTTCCATGAACTGGGGTGGCAGGGATGGTTTCAGGATGAAACTGTTTCATCTCGTAAGGAGTGTGCAACCTAGATTCCTCGCGTGCACAGCTCACAATAGGGTTCAGACTCCTATGAGAATCCAATGCCACTGCTGATCTGATAGGAGGCGGAGCTCAGGTGGCAGTGCTTGCTCACCTGCCGCTCATCTCCTGCTGTATGGACCCGTTTTTAACAGGCCTTGGACTGGTACCAGTCATGGCTCCAGGGGTTGGGAGCCCCTGTTGTATAGTATCTCACAGGAATTCTCTAGATTTCTTATATCTGCCTGTTGACCTCTCTAGCAAGATTGGGGAAATTTTCCTGAATTATATCCTCAAATATATTTTCCAAGTTGCTTACTATCTCTTCTCTCTTGAGAATGCTAATAAGTCATGTATTTGGTTACATTATGTCATCCCGTATTTCTTGAAGGCTTAGTTCATTTTTTAAAATTCTTTTTTCTTTATTTTTGTTGATTCAAACAAACAAATTTGGGTTAATTCAAAGGACCTATCTTAGAGTTCTGAAATACTTTCTTCTGCTTGGTCTAGTCTGTTGTTAAGGCTTCCTACTATATTTTGAAATTCCTGCCGTGAATTTTTCAATTCCAGAGTCTTGCTTTCATTTTTTCTTAATATAGCCATATTGTTTTTCAAATCTTGGATTGTTTTCCTGGCTTCTTTGTATTGGAATTCAACTTGCTTGTGATGTTTTTGGGTATTGGTGTTTGCCATCCATATTCTGAATTCTATGTTTGTCATTCCAGACATTTCATTCTGGCTCAGATCCATTGCTTGGGAGCTAGTGGGGTCTCTTGGAGGTAACATAACACTCTGGATTTTTTATTGCAGTGCTTCTTGCACTGGTTCCCTCTCACCTGAGAGAGCCAGCACTTCTTTATATATATATATAAAATATGTGTGTGTGTGTGTGTGTGTCTATCATTTGGATAGGTTTGGATAGGGCTTCTTGATTTTTTAATTCTTTTTTCCCCTTGGGGTATGACTGTGGTATATATTGTGCATAAGCAACTGCTTCATTTCTGGGAGCTTTCAGGGCACCAAGGCTCTGTATGAGTTCCATGTTTGCACATAGTTTTGTGCTATGGCTTCTCACACATTGCTTATTGTAGCAACGTAATTTTTGTTTGGTGATGTAATTCAGGCTGCAGTCCAGTAAGTGGCTTAAGAGTAAGAGCCGGCAGTTAGCGGCAGGGACAGAGGCAAGGGAGAAGCATGAAAAGCAACACCTCCCAGTGTGCGTTTGCCTTCACTGGGGATGGATTCACTGGAGAAGTCTGAGAAGTGGTTTCTTTCAGCCCATGCTCCCTGAGCCCCAACAGAAAGAGCCACTGATGAGTCCACAATAGTGCACTGAGGAGGTTGGTGGAAGGTGATATATTATCCCCTCTCCAGGTCCATTTCCAGGCTTTGGTGGTGCTCCCTTTAGCAGCTGGCACCACACTCACATTTTCTTTGACTCAGTGGGGACTTTGATGGGCTGTGATTCTCCCTTCTTTAAGGGTAGACTGTGCTTGAGGTTAGATCTCCAGGGGAGGGGGTTCCACCTCTCTCTTGCTCCTCAGCTGGTAGGCCACTGTCCCCCAGCTGACCAAGGGAGCAGGCTGGGGCATCCAGTAGTGGCATACACAGACTGGTTCCAGGTCAAAAAGCTGTCTCTGGCTGCAAGTCTTGCTGCCTGGGAGAAACCTTGGCTTCAGCTACTCTCCTTTCCTGTCCTGCGATGAGAGAGAGTCTAATTCCAGCACCTACTGCTGGTGCACTCTCCACACTTGCCACTCAGTTCTGCCTTTGGGGGCCTTTGTCCTGTCCAGAGCAAGCACTCCAATCTCTGGGCTGAAACTAAAATGCCTGCTTTGACCTCCACTTCCAGGTCACCAAACAATGTCTCTAAACTCTCAAAAAGGTACCATCTGTGGACTTGTGACTAGAGCAGGTAGGGCCCCTCTCAGGTGAGGAGCATGGGCAAGAAGCTGTGGGGAGTGTGGTCTTCTTGAGTCTCAAGACCATGCTCTTGCTTTTGTGCTGCACCTCTTCCAAATAGTGACCTCATTTCTCTGTCCTAGTAGAGCTTCCCTAGCTGATGGGTCCTCAGTATCCGCTGGAGGAGGCTGTCAGCCCAGGATTGGTTTTGGAGACTGCAGCATGCCCTGTGTAGCTCTTCAGTAATTCCATTAGAGCAGCAGGCCTCTGGCCACTGCCTAAGGGTATCCAGGCTTTATGGAGCCCCCACAGGGCTTGATAGCTGATGGTATTTGCATGATTGCTGTTTGTTCAGAGACAGAGGAAGGAGATGCAAATGAGTTTGCATAATTAAACAATGGAGCAGAATGATCCTCCTGACAAGTGGCTATTTGGCATGTGGCTCTGCTATGGTACCACTGAGGTAGCATAAAAGTCTGGTGATGGTCTGTGACAGGAATATTCAGAGCTGTAGTTTGCTTCTGTTCATCATGAGAGGCCAGAAGAATGACCTTCAGCTCTCAGTTGAGTGGCCAGCTTGACTGGAGATTTGCACCTGGGCACAACCTGAAGAGTCAGGGAGTGGCTTAGAATATGGCCAAAGCTGGGCTGGGAAGAAGCCTTAAAGGAAGAGTGGGAATATGATAACCATGAATCTAAGGCCTTTTCTGGCCATAGGAATAGTTAGGAAACTCTTTGAGGAAGTAACTCTTGAGCTGGATCTTGATAGAGGGGTAGGAATTTACCTGACTAGAAGAGAAACCCAGTCCCTTCTGTGTACTCCTATGTCCCTTATTATGGACAGGGCACAGAGATGGTTGATTCAAATGCCATCATTCGTCAAGTCCTATGGTGGCTCCATAGGGCCCAGATGCCCATAGGTGGTAGCCAATGGCCTGCTGCTTTAATGGAATTACACATGAGATAGACAGGGCATGCTGAAGCCCCCAGATTCATCACTGGGATGACAGCCTCCCCCAGGGCTACAAAGGGCCCATTGGCCAGGACTGCACTCCTAGGATCAGAGAAATAGAGTCACCAATTGGAAGAGGTGCAGCACAAAAGCAAGATGATTGATTAAATGGCTGATACTCAATCAGGAAGGTGCCTTTGCCAGGATGGGCTGATATGAGAACAGTGAATCTGAATTGCTAATCAGTAAGAACCTAGGAAGAGAGCCTTCTGAGAGAAATCACTATCCAGCTTCCCTCTCCCCCAAATTTGTTTCTAGCTCCTTCCTGACCTTGTTTTACCTAAGAGAAGGCTGCTTGAAGACACCAGAAGGGAATCGTCTCAGACTTTCAGGGTAGGCCAACCTTCAGGATTAGCCTTTTCTAGAAGTGTCTAGGGACCCCAAGAACAAGTGGATCAGCATGGACTGGGAAGCAATATTCCCAGGGGGCCACCAGTGAGTTCACTATCCCTTCCATCCTAATTCCCAGTACCAGGCAATGTTATAGAGTCCCAGTGGCTCCTCAAACTTTTCACTTCCCAGGCTTTTACATCCATCTGACTGTCCCTGAGCTGCCTATAGTAGCAAAGGCCAGTGTATTTTCCATGAGAGATTTAATTTTTAAAAAACCTCTTGCAACAGGCAGCATACTGAAGATTGTGCCTTATCACTTGGAGATCTATTTGCAGACAGCTTCTGTATTCTGCTGTATTTCCTGGCACACTTCTTGCAAATGCTTAAACCAGATATGAAAATAACTTCTGGTTGACAAAGTATGAATTTTTAAAGGAGGACATTTGTTTGTGTTATAGCATCTAAAACCCTGCATTCCTCAGGATGGAGCACATTATACACTGGACACCCCCTATTGGTAAAGTGATACTGCATCCTAACTCTGTCAGAAGATCTCTGTAACCATCTGGATGAACCAAGATATGAGGCTGGGTTCCAAAGACTGTAAGCAGGGGGAGGGTTTCTCCAGGCTATGGGACAAATCCTATGGCAGATGGCAGTAGGCGGAAGGATCATATATGAAAAAGAGGAGAGCACCTGTAGAGTTAGGAAATGGAGTTTAAAATATTGGAAATCTTAACAAACAAAAGTACACCATGAGGGGTTCCATAGCTAGCAGCGTGCCATGCAGTACGCTGGCAACCTCTCCTTTCGTAAAGTCACGATTTCAAGCATTTTTGCAGCAGAAATGTGATTAAACTTGATTTCATAAAAAGCAATTATGAAATTATTATGTAAAGTTAAGGATGTATGAATAGTGCTGCTTTTCTCTGATAATGTTCTCTCTTTGGTTTTCACTTCACTGTGGGGAGGACTCAGAAAATTTGCTGTGAGTGGAAGCCGCTTTCTTTTGCCCTAGGAAAGTGGGGATCTGGGGGAAAGAATCGGGCTAAGGGAAAGAAAGGTGCACTGAGAAATAAAGTCAAAGTGTACTCATAATTGGAGATTTCAGGAAGATGAATGGATTTTGCAGAAATATTTATGGAAAAGAGGAACCCGGTATCTGCTCTGTATAGACAAACTTCTTGCCCAGGGAGGCAGATGCCTTTGCAAACCTCAAACTGTGAGCTGGGCTAGAAGAAAACCCAGGGAAGGGCTTGCATGCCAAATCCAGTTTTCCCAGTCCTTCTGCCTCATGGCTGGATGAATGTAGCCGCGGAGTGGCTTTGTTTCGCTATTATGCTGCATGTTGAGACAGTTGGAGAGCTGCCAGATTTTTCATCCTGGGCTTTGTGTTAAAGCACTTCCTAATTCTTCTCTGACATTTCTCTCAGGTTAGAACCTGAACAGGGGTCCTTTCATCTTAAGCTTGTTGGACTGGTGCTGGAGGCAGCCCCTGATTATCTGTGGTCACAAGCAACAAAACTCCTTGGATTCTCTCTATAAGTAATCATTTTAAGCAGCTTTTCCATTTCCACCAGCCCCACCTAATCTGTTAGCAAAGCTGCATTCTGTGCCCATGAGCAGGGGCAGCCCACCCCCACCCCGACCACTCTGTGCTTCCTACTTCCCTCTCTGCCACTGTCGGTGACTGCTTTGCATGCACAGGGGTCACAGAGGGGACTAAAGCGTAAGCAGCTGCCCCTTTGTCACTGCATGAGCTTCGACTACTAATGTCTCCTTCTGCAGAAGCAGGCCCTGTTTGCACTTGTACATGTGCATGCATGCTCCCACACCCATGGCTGGAAGTTTGCTTGCTTTCCCCATGGACTGTTGTGTCTGCCAGCAATGTTGCTGCTGCTCTGTGTGTGTGTCTTTGTATGTGTCTGTGTGTGTGTGTGTGTGTGTGTGTGTGTGTGTGTGCCCGTGTGTACTTGTGTATCAGGCCCTCCTTATGTTGCTATAAAGAAATACCTGAGACTGGATAATTTATAAAGAAAAGAGTTTTAATTAGCTCATGGTTCTGCAGGCCATACAAGCATGGTGCCAGCATCTGCTTGGCTTCTGGGGAGGCCTCAGGAAGCTTTTGCTTGGGCAGAAGGTGAAGTGTGGAGCAGGCACGTCACACGGTAAAAGCAGGAGCAATAGAGAGAGTTGGGGGAGGTACCACACACTTTTAATCAAGCAGATCTCATGAGAACTCACTATCATAAGAACAGCACCAATCCATGAGGGATCCACCCCCGTGACCCACACACCTCCTATCGGCCCCCACCTCCAACATTGGGAATTACATTTCAACATGAAATTTGGGCAGGGAAAAAAATATCCAAACTATATCAATGTGTTAGCAGCATTTCCTCCTATCAGTGATTAGTCCTAAGAGTGGCAGCCAGGGAGAAGAAGGCTGGATAATCCACACAACAATTTCTTGGATCCAATCATCCCAAAAGTTCTGTTTCTTGGCCAGATGGTGGTGTTTTCAGGTCAGGTCTACTTGGCTTGGGAAGTATTTTTTTCCCTTTGGGTCAGAGATAAACATTAGTCTGGGCCGGATGCGGTGGCTCATGCCTGTAATCCCAGCACTTTGGGAGGCCGAGGTGGGTGGATCACAAGGTCAGCAGATCGAGACCATCCTGGCTAACATGGTGAAACCCCGTCTCTACTAAAAATACAAAAAAAAAAATTAGCCAGGCGCAGTGGCGGGCGCCTGTAGTCCCAGCTACTTGGGAGGCTGAGGCAGGAGAACGGCCTGAACCCAGGAGGCGGGGCTTGCAGTGAGCCAAGATAGCGCCGCTGCAGTCCAGCCTGGGCAAAGGAGCGAGACTCCATCTCAAAAAGAAAAAAAAAAAAAAAAATTAGTCTGATATTTGTAAGCTTGAAAACCCTACAAAGTGTTATGTTATATGGTGGTCAATTGTTCTTTGTGTATGTTTGCACTATATGGAGGGTAAATGCCCCCACTCGGGCCCCTGGCTTGAGCACAAAATCTTTAAGAATTATAATGGGCTGATGTAGGGGTGGGGTAGGGCCTGGGGAGAATAGAAAGTACATGTAATGCACTGAGTGCAGAGCCTTTTGGATCAAGGACCTTTTATGGTGTTTACAAAAAATCCATGCCTACAACCCCCCAGTGAGTTTACTATGAGTTATTCATGATCCTGAGTCTTTGGCTGAGGAGACAATAGGTGCACCTCCATTGAAAGAGTGGGAAGCTGTGCATCAAACACTTGGGCCCTGAGCCCAGGAACAAGTGTCCAGGACAGACCCTGCTTCTTCCCCTCACCAAAGCCGAGGACAACCCCATGGGGAAGCTGGGCTACTTGGCTTTCTTAGGCTGTCAGTGGCATCTGACTCCACGTTTCAATTGTTTACTTAGTTTCCACCTTATTTGAGTGTCTTTTCCATTATTTGTGTGTGTCCTGTATTGTCCAGAAGTCTCAGATTTTACTCATCATTCTCGAGCTTCCTGAGGAAAAGAAAACCATCATATTGGTGGCTACTTGAGAGTGGTACATACTGTGATATCTCCCTCCCATGTCCCCCACACACTTGGGGGATCCCCTAATTATTCGTTTCCTATGACTGGTGTAGCAGATTATCATAAATTTGGTGGCTTAAAACAACATAAATTTATTCTCTCACACTTTCAGGGGTCAGAGGTCAGAAATCAAGGTGTTGGTAGGGCCACATTTCCTTTGAAGGCTATAGGGGAGAACACTTCCTTGCCTCTTTCAGCTTCTGGTGGCTCCTGGTGATCCTTGGCTTGTGACCACATCATTCCAATCTCTGCCTCTGTGTTCATATGGCCTTCACCCCTGTGTCTCTAGGGTTCAAATCTCCCACACCTTTCTCTTATACGAACATAGTCACAGGACTCAGGGCCCACTCTAAATGCAAGATGATTTCATCTTGAGCTCCTTAAATTAATTACATTTTCAAAGATCTTATTTCCAAATGAGGTCACATTCATAGGTACCAGGGTTTAGGACCCTGGCACATATCTTTGGAGGGGCTTGGTGAGGAGGCATAATTTAACCAACTACACATCCCTTTCCTCTTCCTCTTTCTAATTTCCTCCGTTCTCCTCCTTCTCTTTTCCCTCCTCATCCTCTGTTCCCTATTTCTCATTTTCCACCTCCTCTTCCTTGAGTACCTTGAAGCCAGCACAGGAATCTTCTTTTTATGCAGAAAATATTCTTATGTAAACTGTGTTTCTTCTCCCCAGAAGTTCTTGGAAGAAGGTCCAAGTATTTGGTTAATTGACAGTTCCTTTGACTCTCAGAGTAAAATATCAGCTTCCTTTGCCTTCTCATGAAGCGCAGCTACATAGAAACCAGTGGAACTCTCTGCTTGACGGAGAGATTCACAAAGCACAGCGGACATCAGGATCTCAGGAAAGAGATTTGTGTTAGACATTAGAGCTTCCGGCTGCCAGGAGTTATGAGCTGGTGGTAAGTGATACCCAAGGAGTTATGGACTCTCCTTCATTATAGCTGGTTAAGAACAACCTTTTGTTGACTTTCAAGCTCTGATCTCTGTCCTTTTCTTGTTCTAAAATCTTCGATGATTCCTTACAGCCTTGGAGTAAAATCCAGACCCAGGGATCTTCTATAAACTTGTATTTCCAGTTGCAGTTCAGATTGTATCTTCATTCTTTTGCCTGATACCTTTGCCCCACTGGGCTACAATAGTTACAGAACATGCAGTGTACTCACTTCGGCATGTCCTTCACACTACCTTACCTCCTCCCATCAAAACCCAATCTGGCCTTCAAAATCCAGCTCAGATTCTGTTTTCTGCTTGCAGCCTTCCTCAGTCTACATCCAGCTGGAATCTCTCTCTTCTCTAATTTGTGTTTCCATGGTGTTCTGCTTGTCCTTTAGAGCAGGTATCGCCTATGGTTTCTTATATGGTTCAGCACATGTCTAATATTTCTCCTGGATTTGGGGGCTTTATTCATATTTTTATTTCTTGCATTTCTTCATACAGTGCCTCAATGTTGTAAACAATAATTTAAGCTACTGGAACCACAGCTAAATTTCCACTCAGCCTTTGCACTTCAAGTCAAAAGTTAGTGAGGATTCCACCCTCACATTTTCAGCCCCCCTCTTCTCCTACCTCTCAGCAGCAGGCACCCTCAGGTCCAGCCAGGCCGCTACCCCAGTGGCCCCTACCCACTACACCAGGGTGACTAGCTGTCTCACTTTGCCTGGAACTGTCCTAACGTTAGCACTTAAAGCCTTGCATCCTGGGAAACCCCTTAGTCCCAGGCAAACTGGGATCATTGGTTGCCCTACTCCACACTTAGCCTCTTCTGACTCTTGCTAAAATTCTTAAAATTGAATTTTATGTCCAGGCTCTATCTTCTTCTAGTCATTTGTCATACAGCCACTAAAACTGCTTTCTTCGTGTGAGGATGGGCATCTAGTCCTGGCTCTGTCCCTGCACAGCCCTCCCAGCTCTTCTGTCAAATGCAGCCTCATCAATGTGATTTCTGAGCTTGCGTCCAGCTCATCAGCCTCCTGACCTTCTCTCTCTTCTGCTCCACCTCAGCCCAAACTGTAACTCAGTCTATGTAGATGACCCTCTCAGTTTCCTACACCACATCAAAGAGGGCCTGGGAGTACTGGAACCCCAGACATAACTCTCCTCTCTATAGAACCACAACTCAAAGATGCCTCCTCCAGAAAGCTCTGCCTAGGAAACTCCTACCAGCTTAGCACCAGTCCATTATTCTTCCTCTGGAGGCTCTTAAGTGACTGAATTGATCAGTGTCTCTTAAGAGAAGTACCTGTTGCCCTGGACTAGGTGCCAGAACTTGGATTCTACTCCAAATTTGCCACCAGGGCAAGTTCTTAACCTCAATTGTGTTCATTGTAAAATGAGAACATTAGATGAGCTCTCATATTTTTAAGAGTCATCCCAAACTTGGATTCTAATAGTATCTGCCCATCCAGTTTGCTCTGGAGAGTGTAAGATACAAATGTCTTAAACAAGATGGCATTGGAAAGAGGCTTCCGAAATCCCATCTTACATTGGCTCATTCCCTGCCACCTGTCCCTGCTTGACTTGTAATTCCTATCTTTATCTTTTGATTCCCCTGTAATCCCATCCTGGCCCAGCCAAAAAAGCTACCACCTACAGCTTAAGAGATTTGACAGTATAATTAGAAGACCAAGATTCCTTCCTGTGACTTGGCTTATGAAACTGAAGATTTGGGATGAGCAGTTAGATTCTTAAACCTTGTCCTGGGCTCAGTTTCTACCAGACCCAAAATTATGTCTGATTTTTCCCTTTGTGCCCCAGATAAACTCATCAGGACCTACTTGTTGCTGCCTTTAAATGTTTTCGATGCAGCTGAGTCTATTGAAGTAACAGGCTGGGTGACCTTCCTGGCTTAGAACTCTAAAATGTGTGCAAGTCCTCGTGTGTGTACAGGACACAAATAGCACAGTTAGCGTCTGTACTCTGCTTTACTTTGGACAAGGCACTTTCACATATTTTATCTTATCGGATCCTTGCTACAACTTTATGAGGTTGGTATTATTGTTATTATCCCTATTTTTCCATTTGGGGAATCTGAGGCTCAAAGGAGCAAACTGTGGTATGTGGGAGTGTGTGATCAAATCAGAGCTTGAAGTCACATCCTCAATTCCAGATCCCATGCTCTTTCTGCTGCCCACATTTCAGCCCACGTGCCTGCAGTAAGATAGCAAGCAGCCAGCTGGACGCGGCGGCTCACGCCTGTAATCCCAGCACTTTGGGAGACGGAGGTGGGCAGATCACCTGAGATCAGGAGTTTGAGACCAGCCTGGCCAGCATGATGAAACCCCATCTCTACTAAAAATACAAAAATTAGCCAGGCATGGTGGTGTGTGCCTGTAGTCCCAGCTACTCGGGAGGCTGAGGCATGAGAATCACTTGAACCTGGGAGGAGGAGGCCGCAATGAGATGAGATCACGCCATTGTACTCTAGGCTGGATGACAGAGCGAGGCTCCATCTCAAAAAAAAAAAAAAAAAAGTGAGCAGCCTTGGCTCCTGTCATGCAGGGGTCCTCACAACATTCCACTGACAGAGGTGGCCAAGGGAAGTTGCCTATGTCCCAAGTTATTTCTATAAACTGGTGTCTCTTAACCTGTAATCTGCACACAAATCATCTGGGATCTTGTTAAAAATCAGGTTCCAAGTAGGTTCCAATTCAGTAGGTCAGGAGAGGGGTCAAAATTCTGCATTTCTAATAAGCGCCCAGGTGATGCTGTGTTGCTGATTGAACACCCTGACACTGAGGACTTGGGCATGATATAGAACTGTTCATTACCACTAGGGCCCTGTGGGTATTGCTCATGCTGTCTGTTCTTTGCTGTTAGGTTTCCCCCATACAAGGTTTTCTCTCTCTAGTGAAAATCTGGCCATCCATTATCTCCTTTTACTTAAAAGCTCAGGTAAAATCTCTCCCAGAAGCCTCTCTTGGGAGTTCTATATGTTTCTGCCTCTCTGTTTGCAGGCAGTGAGCCTGCCTGGGCTCTGAGGTGGCCTGAGGTAGCTTTCCCATCCAGCCAAGGGAACTGAAGAACTTTCTTATTAGGATTCTTTTTGAGGGGCTGGGTGGACATAGTGGGACCCTGGTGGCATTTGAGCAAGACGAGGGACTGCAGGGTATCAAGAGCCAAGCCTCTAAAATGAGGCCAAACCTGGCTACCGAAAGCAGGAGAGCCTGGGGAGAATTCAAACTGGGGCAGTACAGGAAGGCAAGAGGAGGAAGCCGGAGCAGAGCCAAGTGGACAGGGCAAGGAGAGTCTGTGAACAGGAAACAGCCAGAAGGCCAAAGCCTGGGGCAGTGGGAGCAGGTAGGACAGGTGGGGTGTGAAGGGCCAAGTGGAGGTTTCAGGCCTGAGGTTCTGAATAAATCTGGGGAGTGGGAAGCCTGGTTCAAGAGGGCTAATACAGGGAGGACTCAAGGGTGACAGGAGGCTGTGGGGTGAGACAGTCCAGCCAGGGAGGATGGGCAAGTCACCACAAAGCCAAGTCCAGCCTTCCAGTTAGAAAAGCACCTCAGAACTGATGCCTGCCTGGCATGGGCCAGGAGAGTCTTTGGTGTAAGGGGTCAGATCTCTTTGGAAAGGGGCTGTGCTTATTTATCTCGGCCTGCCACCTCCTAGGGGAGCAATGTATTTTGATAGAGTTATTATTATGATTATGTAGCTTCCATAGTACCATAACGTTGAATATTGGTTCTTTTTATTATCATTTCCCAGCCGTAAGTTTCACTCTGACATGCAACCCTGTGTTAGGCACTGTATTATCTCTAAAATAAATCTTAAGGATTTCGAGGAGAGGGATTATGGTTTGGGAGTTCTGTCATAATAGTTGCTCAGTAAATGCTTCGTTAACTAAGGGTTTCTTTCTCCTTCTGTTTCTAAAAGTGACTGTCTATGAGGCAGATTGAGTGTGAGATGTGTGTGTTTTGTTTCTGATGGTCAGGGTTGGGCATCAAGGGGTGAACATGGGATAAGAGAGCCCAGATACCCACTATCCCACTCCTGCGTCACGCCCTGGGGAGGTCTGAAGGCCACCTGGACACAGGAGCACGTGGACCTGCTGGCTCCTGCTGACCTCCTGCACCTGACACATGATGCATCACCCTGGGACCTGGCCTTCACACCCATGCAGCTGTGCCGCCTACAGAGTGAAACCAGAGCTCTGCCCCTGAGCAGAGCCAAGGCACGTGGCTGGCAGTGCCATTGTGCCTGAACACACACACGTGCATTGGCATGTACTGACTGTCTTTTTCTCACTCATTCCTGAACCTGCTCTACTCATTTGTTCCCTGTCAAAGGATCTCATCTCAGGACTTAAATTATATTTGTGTGATTTTTTTATGTATTTATTACATGGTGCAGCTAGGGGGAAAATGTTGTTTTTTATAATGATGAATATGTCCAGTTTCATCAATATAAACTAGTTGGTGGACTAGCCAAATTAGAACTAATGAAATCCTAAACTGTGAAATCATAGTAAAGAACTCGGTAGAATACTATTACATTCAAGCCATTCAAGCATGCCTACTTTAAGAAAAAGGTGAAATACTTTGTTCCTTAGTAAAGCATTTTTTTTTTTTTTTGCATGTGAAAGATAAAGGAATACACAGTTTGCCCCTAGGAGCTTAATATCTTCCCAAGTCTTTGTTGTTTATTAATCTGCTCATTAAATCTTCCAGTAAATATAGTGGTATATATCAGCCCCATCCTCTCCAACATAAACATGAATTCATGGGACCTGAATTTAAAACACTTTAATATTATGCACCCTTCCCTTTCCCTTCCTCACTTTACACTCAGAAACTGGGGAATGAAGTGAAAGCTCCCAGAGGAGGACTGAAGTGTGTGACCCTCACTGAATTCCTACCTCCTTAGACCCTGATTTCTATCTCGGTTGCCGAGCAGCTGCACAACCCAGGTTGGCAGAGGGACATAAGCCAGTGCTGTGGTCATACCTCCCTGTGGCTCTCTAAGACTGCCCTGAGCTCAGTAACATCAGGGGAGATAGGCACACAGGAATCGGGCAACTATAGATGTGGACTCATTTTATAGAAATCAGTTTGGTAATTCCTCTCTGCTTAATAAATCCATTATTTTCTACTTAAAACCTAGTCCCTTCCTCCAACCCACAAGGTGGTGGTTTCTCTGGCCTTCTCTTCCCCTGTTGCAGTGTGAAATCTTATAAGTTTCTGGAGTTTCCCTAATGAATGGTAATGAACGGTCTACTCTGACTATATTACTGGACAGAAGATTCCCAAAGCCAGAGAGGGCTGTGCTGAAGTCAACAATTTCCCCCTTCCTCTGTCCCATTCTGCAGAAAACCTTGGTGTGCCCTCTACCCAGGGCATAAGGGACTGTTAGTTAAGAAAAGGTTGTAATAGCCGGGCATGGTGGCTCTCGCCTGTAATCCCAGGACTTTGGAAGGCTGAGGCGGGTGGATCACTTGAGGTCAGGAGTTCAAGACCAGCCTGGCCAACATGGTGAAACCCTGTCTCTACTAAAAATACAAAAATTAGCCAGGCATGGTGGCAGGCACCTGTAATCCAGCTACGCAGGAGGCTGAAGCAGGATAATCGCTTGAACCCATGAGGTGGAGGTTGCAGTGAGCTGAGATCATGCCACTGTGACAGAGCAAGACTCTATTTAAAAAAAAAAAGAAAGAAAGAAAGAAAAGATTGTGTGACATCATAGTCTGTGTATTGCAGCCCCCGTGCTGTCCTGGTGCTATGGGGAGTAGAAGAGAGGCTTTGAGAGGCACTGGGATGGATTAAAAGAGGGCTGGACTTGAAGCCAAGGCTCACATTCTACAGGTACCATTTAGTAATTGTATGACCTTGAGCAAATTTCATCACCTCCAGAGCCTCTATTTCCTCATCTGTAAAATGAAAGGGGAGGCATCTCTGCTTTACTCATACAATTGTTATGAGTTTCACCTAAGAGCATGAGAGGTAGTTTTTACACAATAAAACTCTGCACAAGTATAAAGTGCATCTGGGGCCTTGCCTCAGAGTCTGGCAGGCTGCATGACTCACAGAGTAAGAAGGGAAAAAAGAAGGGTGCCCCTGGAGCTGGCCACCATGACAGTTCCTGAAGATCAACCTCTTTTTAGAGGGTCACTGCCCCATATTTATCAATAACAGGATCAACTAGATCCCAGGATGCTGGCCAAAAAGAAATTGGCATACCACAGCCTCTCTCTGTGTGTGTGGCTGCCCCAGCTCTCGAAGAATGGGCCTCTTCTGGCATTCCCCTTAAAATGCTGGCCTGCCTGGTATTCTGTGAGTAAAAGCACCACCCCCCCTCTAGTGCCAGGGTGACCTTTCTCCCTGTTACTCTGCTACCACCCACCACAGGCCTGGGTCCTTCTCCCAGAAGAGGGCTGCTTGGCTATACAGCCACTGTGGATGCCCTCCTGACTCCCCACCTCTTTCCCCTAAGGCCTCCCCTGAAAAGCCTTCTAGAACTGACAGCTGGAGAAGAGAAAGCAACTGGGCACTGAGGCTGGGCCAGCCCAGCACTGCTTGGGGGCGGGTGGGAGCGGGTTTATCTGACCAACTTTGGGATAGTAGAAAAAGCTAGTTCCCCAGTGTGATTTGAAACATGTAAAGTGGTGGTACTTTCCAGAACAGTATGGAGATGCCAGGAGACCCCTATCATGTGACTCCTGCTTCATATCATTTTATACCAGATAAATGGCTTTTAAGTCTAGTGACCATCGTTTCTTAATTGGCATATGCAGTCAAACAGAGGTCTTTTTGGCTACTTTCAGAAGCAGGCAGCCATCTGAAAAATACAGTTTTGGATGCGAAAATACCAGAATTTCTAGGTTAAAAAATGGAGCAGAATAGTTGAATCCTGGCTACCCTAGAAAAATCCAGGGGATGGAAGGCACCCATAAACCATTTCCTCAGAGACCTTCCCTTGCTCTCATGCTCCCAATCCAGGTTAGTCCCTACATTGGCTTTTACTCATGGCATTTTTTTTTCTTCATAGCACTTAAACAATTTATTATTATTATTATTGAGACAGAGTCTCAGTCTGTTACCCAGGCTGGAGTGCAGTGGCATGACCTCCACTCGCTGCAACTTCTGCCTCCCACGTTCAAGCGATTCTTGTGTCTCCAGCCTCCAGAACAGCTGGGACTACAGGCACGCACCACCACGCCCGGCTAATTTTTGTATTTTTAGTAGAGATGGGGTTTCGCCATGTTGGCCAGGCTGGTCTCGAATTCCTGACCTCGGGTGATCCACCCGCCTTGGCCTCCCAAAGTGCTGGGATTACAGGAGTGAGCCACCATGCCTGGCCAACAATTTATAATTTTACATATGTAATCTTTGTTTAACATTTACATCTCAGGGTAGCTTTGCCACCTGCTTTATCCCCGGTAACTAACGGCGCTTGGGTCTTGTAGGGTGGGTCCCATGGATCTTTGGCTCCCAGACACTAGGCATATTTTTCAATGTGTGGTTCCTCATTAAAAAGGTAAATTCATGACCCCACCCTAGATCAACTGAATTAGAATCTATGGGGTAAGGCCCAACAACCTGTGGGGTTTTTTTTGTTTTGTTTTGTTTTTGTTTTTGAGACAAAGTCTCACTCTATTGCCCAAGCTGGAGTGCAGTGGCACAATTTTGGCTCACTGCAACCTCCGCCTCCCGGGTTCAAGTGATTCTCCTGCCTCAGCCTCCTGAGTAGCTGGGACTACAGGCACACACCACCATGCCTGGCTAATTTTTGTATTTTTAGTAGAGATGGGGTTTCACTATGTTGGTCAGGCTAGTCTTGAACTCCTGACCTCGTGATCCGCCTGCCTAGGTCTCCCAAAGTGCTGGGATTACAGGCGTGAGCCACCGTGTCCGGCTCAACCTGTATTTTATCAAGCCCTGCATGTGATTCTGGTGCACTTTGAATCTTGAGGACCACTGTATTAGGATTTGGGACAAATTCTACAATGCTGCAGAGGTTAAGGAATAGACTTACATGGGCCGATGGTCAGTAAGATAAGATAGACATGGGTTCCTCATTATCTCATCAGGGGTGCTGGGGCTTGGGCATACTCTGAGCCTGCATTCCGGTGGAGGGACCACATCCCCCTTGCTTATCCTCCCTCTACAGGAAAAATGAGAGAGCAAACAGTAATGAAGGGCCATAGAAAGGCACAGGCAGGCTGGATCTGGGATGCCAGCTGCTTACAGGAGTGGTCTAGGAAAGCCTTCTGCCTGGCACCGGAGAGCCCTAAGGCCCATGAGAAGCTGTAAACCACCCACCTCAATGGACAGTAGAAGCCCCCAGCCCCTGGGAAGTGGAGCTTGAGTGTAGTCCCTCCCACAGGGAGAAGGGGAAGCTCCCAGTCCCAGCTAGCTCAGTGCCCAGATGTTGCAGAGCGGGCTCCCAGAGTTATTATGGGACAGCTCTGCTAACAAACCTGACACAGAGTAGGCACTTGATATTTTGGGGGTCAATGAGTAGAGTCACTTCCAACTCTGATGCTGATTCTGCTTCACAGTTTAGATGGATCACCTGCAGACTTGTGGCTGTTGAAATATTTAAACAGTAAAGATTTCTCTTGATAGGCAGGCCAGAGGCTGTGTCAGTCCCAGTCCTGTCCCCAAGTCTAAAAATAGGCGTTCTTGTCCTAGACTTCCAGATTCCTCACTTCCATGCGGTCACCCTGGCTTCTTGCGAGGGATGGAGGGTTCCTCAGCCCACTGCTCAGGCTGTAACCAGGACCCCTAGATTGTCAGATCTTCCTAGGCCAATGGAGAATCCCAGTCTTTCTGGCTGCCAAGGCTAAGGTGGTGATCAGGAATACCTCTTTCTACCTGAATGGAAGAGCCTACTAGAGATCTGATTCCAAAGGCTTTCTGTGAGGCTGCCTCGCCTTGCTGGGAAAGCTGCTCTCCCCTTCATTGTACCACCCCCACCCTAGGGCCTCTTTCAGGACACTCGGACTGGCTATGATTGTGCACTTAGTAGCCTCTGAGCAACTGAAGGGAAACCAGTTACACAGTGCCTCTCCTGACACCTACTAGGAAAGGACAGCTCCGTCTAGCTCCAGGATCTCATCTCTTTCTTCCCTCTTTCTTCTACTCCCCATGACTCTTGCTTTGGCCAGGAACTCACCTTATCTCCTCCATCTTTTGTGAAGTAGCCTGTTTAATTTACTACATGAAACATTTACAAATGGCCCCCTTCCTTGATTCTTAATTTATTCCTGGTGCTTTAATCTTTATCCTCTTTCTTTTCTCTCTTCCTGCTGGAATACATTTTTTGGACCAATAAATAATGCAATTGATAATGCTTTGAAGTCTTTTTGTAGTATCTCCTGTACTTGAAAACACACACACATGCACGTGCACGCGCGCGCGCACACACACACACAGACACACACCATGAACTGAGCCTCCTCGTTCGTAACTTGCATGTCTCAGGCACATTATTCTTCCTTTTGCTCTGCATTAGACAGTTATTTCCAGGTTAATTCCCAGATATGATTGCCTTCCAGACAGCTTCTCCTTGAGCCCCTGAGCCCTTGTCTAGAGATAAGAGCTGGGAAGGTGCGGCACTAGGGACATAGCAGGGCCTTTTGAATTTATCATTCTTTTCTGGGAAAGTGCATGAGGCAGTAGTCTAAGACCCAAACTGTCTGCTGTCATTCAAATTCAGCACCATCCAATAAGAACCACTGAGTGCCCAGCATTGTACCAGGAGAAATCCCAGAGACGCAGTGGTCTGCGGCCTGCCTCCTTGAGCCCATAGGAAAGCAGGGGATATGAAACTATCAAGCCAGGAATTCTATTTCCCATCTGGATGGTTACCCCAGCATTGTTCCCCTGGGGACTTAAAGATAAAAACCATGGGCTCCAGTGCACCAGGACTTCCAGCTGAATGAAGGAATGAAGGGAATCCTTTGAGGACAAATCACCTTGAATGAATGGTCCCCTTTTGCTAAGATTTATTCTAGCCAAATTCCCAGAAATAAAGTGAGATTTGTTCAGGCCAAATTCCCAGAAATAAAATAATTCCTTCAGAATTCATGGTGACTAGATTTGACCTGTTGTCCTTTTATTTATTGTTTTTTGTGTTCTCTGCCTTTCTGTGACTCAACTTGCTAGTTCTGAGAAGGCCTTTGGTTAGGCAGCACTGTCTCCTCTTGGCCTCAGCTCCAGCAGGTGACTTCCTGACTCAGCCTGGCAGCTCACCCAGTTGTTTTCCTTCCAATAGTTATGAGAGCACTATCTCTAATCAATTAACTTCAGGCAAATTAAGCAAGATTTTGCCTGCCAGGAATCCCATCCATGCTCTTTAATCTAGCGGGGCTCTTCTGCCCATCCCCCAGCACACTTCCTTTCTGTAGTCCTTTAGAATATCCCCACACTGATGTCAAGTTAAGTAACACAGATCATCACTGCAAGAATCAGCAGGTGCCCCAGGCTGCCCCTGTCGGTTGATGGGCTATTGACTATTTCCGCTTGGTACCTGAGACAGGGCTGGTCTCTTGTACACAGAACGCTCGCAGGCCTCACACAGTTTGGGAGGCACATTCTGTGGGCCAGGGCTTTCAGTGAGGGCCTTCCATTAACCTCCTGTGCCTCTATCCTCCTCATGTCTGCTTTCTTGCAGTGTTGCTTGGGTAGAACAATTGTTAGGTGCAGCTTGGTGTTAAGATTCCCCAGAAGGAAAATGGCCTGAGTACAGCTTCAGTTTTCACGTCTGCTTGGCCCCATCTTTCACAGCTGTTGCTTTTTTCCTGTCCTCATTCCTTTCTCCTTTCGCCTCCCCACCCATATAAGCAGAAGGACTGAGGAACAAGACTGCCACGGAGGAATGGTTTGGCCTGGGTCCTCCTGCACTCCTCTTGCCTTTGGGGATTCTCTTGCACCATTTATATGGAGCATGTTATATTTACCAGTGTGTTTCAGTTTCATAATATGAATTCATTTATCCTGTTGTAGGTAAATCTGTGATTACACAGGCCAAAATAAAGAAGTTTGCAATATTCTGTTATTTTTTATGTCTTCACTATCATGGATCATGTGACGGCATCATTCAGAAAGCACTTCTTCTTATACTCGATGATACGTACTCCAGTCATTCGAAGGATCCTAGTGACCACTTTATCATAGCCTGCAGTGGACCAATTTAAATGAGCATGTGTCTCCCTAGGTGGAAGATATTTAGTCCTTTTAGAGACTTGAATTTTCTTTAAATGAGGGGAAAGCAGGTACCTTGATCAGTATGATGGGGAATGATTGAAAGGATAGGTTTCAATTTTTGGTTTTGAGACAAGTCACCTTTGCCATATTTTAGCCTCTGGAGCTGGCTTTACCTGATGATGTGTGATTCCTCCATCACGGTGATTGTGAAGAAATGTTCTCCGTCCTTTCCTCCCTCCTCTTCCTTCTCACTCTCTGTTTTTACATTTAAAAGACGTGGTAAGTGTGTTTTAGCTGTCACAAGCCTGAGTTTGATTCTTCCAAAGTTTCTTTTAGTAAAAAAAAAAAAAAAAAAAAAAAAAAAATTTAATCATAAAATTTAATCAGAGACTTTTTCTCAAAGTTGGGGGAAAGAGAAGAGAGTTAACATAGGAGATGACTATTTTAAATCCCAACAGGTAAATAACAGAGAGTGAGGGAAATAAGATCATGGCAGCCTGTAAGTAAAATTCTAAAAAGCATGCCAGAAGAGACCAGCTTCTGGCAGAGTATAAGACTGAGAATCTAGGAATAAAAGAAGGAAAAACAAACCCAGAAACAATAGAGTTAGGTAATCATGAGAGGAAGAAGCAGAACCGAATATAGAAGCCTCATATCATGGATAACTTTTCTTTGGGTCTAAATATAGTCACCATTGTTAGAAGGTAAAAGTCTGTTTCTGAAAAAAAGATAGGAGGGAATGAAAAGAGCTTTATCGGAGAGTTGATTTTGTAACTGTATTTGAAGAAAAATGAGGTGGACATTCTTTTCAGAGATGGTATTTCCTGATGTTCTGGGGAACATTTTGAATGTATTGATGGAAATAAATGTGTAGGGTTGGATTGTCTTGTTCATCTTTATCTGTCTGTGCCCTCCTGCCTTGTGTATCCTTCTATCTAGCATATCCATTTTCTTCCTTTCTTCAAATCCCTGAGTAGGTTTCCAGGAAGGTTTACTATCTTTACTTAGCTCCTGTCCCTCTAGCCACTCTACATTTAACTCTATAGAGTCCCTGCAAGATTAAGCTTTTGTTGTTTGTGCTTCTGTGTTTTTTTCCCCCCCTGGTATCTTGGATTGACCTTTAGGACTGAGACTATAATGCAACAGCTGAGCTTTTCTATCTGCAGAATATAGGCCCTAGAGTCCTGAATTCAACTGGGTTTGTGTTGTGCTGCGAGGTCCATCCTCCCCAAGCTCACAAGAGATGCTGTCCTGGGTGCTGATCAACTGTGTGTCATGCAGTTAAGGTGACTTCTAAACTTGCAGATATCATAGCCTGAAAATTCAGTTTAGCTAAGACCCTATGGCCAATTTCCAAATACAACTACAAGCACTTTTAAGTTGGAGCTGAAAAAGGTATCAGTGAGCATTCATGCCAGACTACTAAGACTTATCAGCTCTTATTTATCCCTGACCTCTGCTAGTCTCTTTTCAATGATAACAAGCCTGGTAAAATACTGCAGCACCAGCCCAGCAGTGCATGTTCAGGGTGGCCTTGGGTCCTGCCAAGTTAGCTTCATCTCTGAGGACTTTCCATAGCCAGATATGGCCTCTCAAAGGCAGGAAAGCAAACCATGCAGTCTAGTGGGGGCCTCTAGCTGTTGCTTGGGGGGGCTCCCTAACTCCAGAAGCTATGATGCAGAATGAAGGTTCAGTCCTAAGACAATGAGCAAGATAACTGACCCTACTGTTGTAGTTCTAGTCAGGATGGGGAGTGAGCACTATTGAGAACAGGATTGGCAAATCAAGCTCTAACGTCTGGACTCTTTTCATACAGTCTCCTACTTCACTTCTTGGGCTTCCATTTCCTTTTCAGTAAAATGAGGGGTTAACTCACATTTTAGAGATACAAAGTAATATGGGCACCTGTCAATATTATTTTTAATAAGATTGTAGAACTTTAGACTGAGGATCATTCCTAGAATATCAGTAGAAAGACAATCTGTCTGACTAGAACTCTCATGGAGCATGTAATACTTTTATTGAGCACAGGATAGTATAGGAATTGGGAGTGAAACAGCCTATCAATTGCAGTTATTACATTTTAAGCACCAGAAAGTGACACTAGCTACTTAAGAAAAAGGAGAATTTATTGGAAGGAGGTAAAGCTGCTCACAGAATTTAAGGTATAGCTGATGAATCAGGCTGAGAAACAATAGAATCGAGGTCAGGCGCAATGGCTCATGCCTGTAATCCCAGCACTTTGGGAAGCTGATGCAGGAGGATCACTTGAGCCCAGGAGTTCAAGATCAGCCTGGGAAACATAGCAAGATCATTTTACAAAAAAATACAAAAATTAGCTGGGTGTGGGGGCATGCACCTATGGTCCTAACTACTGAGGAGGCTGAGACAGGAGGAGGAGTCCTTGAGCCCAGGAGTTTGAGGCTGCAGTGAGCTCTGATTGTGCCACGGCACCGGAGCCTAGTGACAGAGCAAGACCCTGTCTCAGAAAAAAAAAAAAAAAAAAAAAAAAAAAAAGCAAAAAAGCCAAGCCAGGAATACAGGTTCAATGTTATCAGGGCATTACTGCTGGGATGGATCCATTCCAACTGATTTTCCCAACCCTCTGGAGTCATAGACCCAGAAGAGAACATCGATTTTCCTAGCTTGAGTCATGTGCCCAGCTTTAGCTACATTTTCTCATTTGTTCACAAAACATGCAATGAGAGTTTCTGATGTGTCAGGCTGTGCTGTGTATCAGAGATACATCAGTGAATACGGTCACTGCCTTCATGGATCACTTGACGTAGAGTGGCCAGAGAAGCCTTCACAAGTAAGGAGACATTTGAGCAAAAGCTTAGATTCATTGAAGGAGAAGACTGTGTAGATATCTGAGGAAGAGGGTCCAGGCAGAGGAAATAGCAGGTGCAAAGGCCCTGAGGTGTCTGAGGGGAAGCAAAGAGACCAATATGGTTGCGGGGGGAGTGAATGAGAGGAGAGTGGTAGCAAATGAATTCAGAAGTGGAGGTGGAAACTCATTCTTGTGGGCCTAGAACTGATACATATTACAGGCCAATGCATGGACTTTGGCTCTTATTCTAAGGGAGATAGAATCTTTGGAGGGTTTTGAGCAGGGGAGTGATATGTTCTGTTTTAAATTTTGAAAGATAAATTTGGTAACTATGTTGAGAACAGAGTGGGACAAGGGTAGAAACAGGGAGATGAGTCAGGAGCAGACTGTAATAATCCGGTTAAGAAACAATGGTGACTTAGTCTAAGTTGGTAGCAATGGAGTTGTGGGGAGAAATGGCCAGATGCTACAACAGTACTTTCTGTGGGTGTTTGAGAGTGGACAGTTGCAAGGCCTTTGGCCTGATGAACTGGAAGGATGAAGTTGCTACTGAGTTGATGAGGACTTTTGGAGGATGGAGTTTGAGGGGTATGTGCAGGGGGAGAGGGCATGTAGGAATTGAGAGTTCAGATTGAGAGATCAAAGGGGAGTTCTGGGCTAACTATATAAATTCAGGAGCCATTAGCCTATTGATAGTATTTAAATCCATGAGACTGGGTGAGATGATCTGAGAAATGAATACAGATAGACAAGGGAAGAGGTCAGAGTCTGAATCCTGAGTAGAAAGAGTATAAATATTAATTGACTCAAAATCTTAATTGATTGAAGGACAAAAGTTTATAGTTCTAAATGCCAACAGGTAAGATAGCAAACATTTTTTGTACTGGAAGAGAAAGGGTCAAATATACACCCAGACCACAGAAATCTACCTTTTCATTATGCACCTGATGACTTTCTTTTATTCCCCCTCAGTCTCTTCCCTTTGGGTGTCTTTCCTCGTAGTTACTCTGTGACTGAACCACTTAGCTCTGAGACCATTTCCCTGTCCTCTGGCTGCCCAGTGACTACCCTTTCTCTCTCCTTACTTTCCACTGGAAATACTCTAGTGAAAATCCACAAGTTAGGGCATGATGAGATTGAAAATAAAAGATCTGATCACCACGTGGCTTTGGCTACTTCTTGACTGCCTTTCCTTCTTTGCTTTGTTCCTTTACCAGAAAGCAGCTACAACCTCCTTTAGCAAGAGCTGAATCATGTAATTCTGCATAAATGGTGATGTTGCTTGGGAGGAGGGGGAAGAGAGGGTAGTCAACACTCTTTGGTAAGCAAGCAGCCCAGGCACCCAGCCTAAGTAATTATGCCTAGCAGTTGCTCATGCTGTGCAGAAAACCCAAAAAAGAGGTGTAAGTACTGTGAGAATTAGAGCCTTGATGATCTGGGAGGGTAATCAGAACGGCTCCAGAACCATTCCTCCGGCTCCCCACAGCTGCTCTAACCTCTTCCTTCACTTGTCTTCCTGGAACCTGGTTATTTAGATGCTCAGGATTATTTGGGGTGCATTTATGTATACATTTTAAGAGTTTGTGTTTTTTTTCTCTGTATCTGTTTCCCATCCTTATCATTAATCTAGATGTTTTCAAGGGCAGATGATATGGAACCTCTGTATTCTAGTCATGGGTAATTTTTTTTTGGAGGGGGGATGGAGTTTCACTCTTGTTGCCCAGGAGTGCAATGGCGCGATCTCTGCTCACTGCAGTCTCTGCCTCCAGGGTTCAAGCGATTCTCCTGCCTCAGCCTCTGACTAGCTGGGATTACAGGCATGCACCACCACACCTGTCTACTTTTGTATTTTTAGTAGAGATGGGGTTTCTCCTTGTTGGTCAGGCTGGTCTCGAACTCCCGACCTCAGGTGACCCACCTGTCTCGGCCTCCCAAGTCATGGGCAATCTTAATAAATGCCTACTCTTTACCCAGGAACATCCCATTTAAAAAAATCTAAAGTTTTTAAAAAGGAGATAAAATAGTGCAAAGCTGGGCATGGTGGCACACTCCTGTAGTCTCAGCTACTCAGGAGGCTGAGGCAGAAGGATGGCTTGAGCCCAGGAGTTTGACGCTGTACTGCACTGTGATTGTGCCTGTGGATGACTGCTGCATTCCAACGTGGGCAACTTAATGAGACCCTATCTCTAAAAAAAAAAGTTAAAACTAAAAATAAAACAATGCAAAAGAACAGTAAGCTAAAATGCAGCCAGCAGAAAGCAAAATGGATAAGATAATTAAAATCACTATAATGAAAAAATATAAAATCTTGAACAAAACACCCACTTATGGGCAAATAAACAGTTCTGGCAAAACTGAAATGGCAGGAGATAGCTGAAGTGTACTCTCTCTTGTGCGCTCTCTCTCTCTCTCTCTCTCTGTGTGTGTGTGTGTGTGTGTGTCTGTGTATGCATGCATGCATGCATGTGCATGTGTGTATAGGGACAGGGTATAGTATCCTGGACCTGTGCACTCAACTGTGGGGAAAGAATGGTATAGATTGATTCACAGGCAAGTAAAAACCCTGCATCCATTGTGATCAACATATAGAAACTTTTTTGGCAGCCTCCTTGAGTCTTGCAGCACTAGGTTAGGGACTGATCAGCAGACTTTTGTAGATGGAATCTCTGCCCTCTGATGCATGACAGTCCATTTTTACAGGCTATATGCTAGGCAAATATATCTTTCATCTCCCCTGGCACCTATCAACACTTCCCCCGCCCCATCCCAGCATCACACACACACACACACACACACACACACACACACACACACACACTCACTCACTCATTCACTCACACATCAAACATTTGTTGAATGTCTTTTAAATGTAAAAAGACATACAGAGATGAATTCCCATTCCCAAGGAGCTGGACATCTGAAAAGTGACTCAGGCAGACAACAAATACTGGAAGTAGAAGAAGAAAGGTGATGCCTGGGGTGTACGCTAGGTCTATGGAGGCAGGGGGGCTCACAAGTCTTCACAGAAAAGGTTCTGTCTCCTTCTGCATCTAATCAGATGAGGGGGCTTCACCACTAGAGGGGAGGCTGTGTGGGGGCATGCATTCCAGCCAGAGCAGTCAGCACACACAAAGCCCTGAGGTGCAAAAGAGCATGGGAAGTGTGGAGCATTCTAAACCATCCAAGACTAAACAGTGGGGCCCAAGGCATGACGGACTGCAGGGAGAAGAAGAGAATGAGGCTAGAGAGTCAGGTAGTGGCCAGTTGCAGAGGTCCTTGTAGGAGCTACCAAAGGGCTTTAACTAGGGAGAAAATTTGGTCACTTTCTTAACTAGATAAAAGGAGAATAAATCCTAATATTAATAGCTTACACTTCTTCAGTGTCTGCAACTAGATTATTTCCTTTAGTCCTTCAAACAACCTTATGGGGTAGGTGCTATTAAGGCTTTTTGTTCAAACGGGTACCCTCTCCAGGCCCTAGGAAGCCCCATGAGCAGGTCAGCCATCAGAATCAGGGGCCTACAGCTCACTCTTCTCCTGCTGCCAAGGGGGGTGGCATCTTCCATACATGGTGCAGAGGGGCAGAAGAGAAGGCTGAGCCACCCCAGGAAGGCCGTGCCTCTGGTTTCCAAATGCTGCTTCCTGGAGCATCTGTTTTCCCCAAAGGTTTTGGTGGGGGGTGGCGGGGGATTATATTGAATAAAAACATGCTTTATTTAGTGGAATGCAAACTTTACCTAATTGTAAGATAAAATGTAGGACTTGAAGAAAGAAATGTTGCTGTTTTTTTATGGGCCCTGAGCTGGGCCTCTATTTTCTCTCTTGCTCCCTGTACCTTCTGGGACATTTTGGTGAGAAGACTTAAGAAGTACAGTCAACCAATGTTGTGACTCCCAAAGAAGAGACAGCTTCTGATGAGGTCCCTGCATCTGGGGGCTGGATGGGAATAGGTGGGACTTGTTGAGGGAAATGGGGAGTCCTGTTCAACAGGGTTCAGTAGGAAATCCTTTCATGAAATCAATTGCCGTCACTCCCCTAGTTTATCTCTTTTATGAGTTAATCATCTTTAATCATTTGGAATTCAATGTAGCGTAAATAATGATAGATATGTCAATTTTAAGTTTTGAAGTCTATGATTCTGTATTGCAAGATTTCAGAACCTTGCCTGCTAGAACCATGGACAGAGCCATCAGAATTAGGACTGGCTTTTAAAATCAATTCTAGGGGAGCTGAGTGTGACTTCTGAGGGCTGTGTGTGTGTGTGTGTGTGTGTGTGTGTGTGTGTGTGTGAGACAGACAGACATACTAATTGAAGATGCTCCAGGCATTAACTTATTGGAGATTAAAGGTGAAAGAGAACTTGTGACCAGACCTTGAACAAGAAAGAACAATGAAGTGGCTAAGACCTGCCCTTCTCCTTGTCCTTCTGTGTCCTTCCCCATTTTGTTGTGCACCCCAGATGAGCTTATATTCTCTACCCACACCTCTCTTTTCACAGCCCTGCCCAGACTAGCTCTCCTCAGAAGCACCTGTTCTCCCTTCCCCACCAAAGTCAGCCTCCCTGTCAGTCACATGAGGTCTTCCTCTTAGCCAACAAAGTAAAAATCTCATGAGTGTCCTGGTAAATGCCCACAGCTGGTGCAGCTTATCCTTCTCAGACGGCAATGCCTTTAATGACCATGGTGATATCTGGAATTTGCTCAGATGAAAACATAAATGTTAATGCAGAGCCTTAACCCAGATCAATTAATTGTTTATGGTGTAATTTTAGGCATTGTAACAGGCTGGTTTGGACGGTAATTGAAGATGAAGGGGGTTCCTGGGGGCTTAGAATTCCTACTTCATCTGCACATGCCCAGACAAGCATTGTGCTACTTTGTAGCTACCATAGTCTGGATTAATCCTCAGGTAAACTCCAACCATTACCCAAATTTCTATGCGCTTTGATTCTCCTTTCTCAAGTCAGAGCATTTTCCAAACCTAAGCTCATTTGATTGAGTTCCATTCAGAAAATATCTACCCAACATGCACAGCTTTCTGAGAAGTATATTCTAAGAACTTGAAGTAAGAAAGAAAAAAAAATAGGCCATATGAAAGGATACTTTGTTTCCCATTTAGCTTGCTTTGCTTAATTGATAATTTGATCATCTGGTTCTTCTGTCACCAAAAGCAAGGAGAAAGGGGTCTGTTTCTTTTAACTCTCAGAGACTTGCCAGAGGGTATCTGAGAGACTCACCTCGGAGAGCTGCTGTGCCCTGGGCTCTCAACGACCCATCACCTAATCCAGAAAGTGTTAAGGGCCTTGCTGTGGTCTGAATGTTCGTGTTTCCCCCAAATTCATATGTTGAAAACTAACCACCAAGGTGATGGTATTAGTAGGTAGGCCCTTTGAGAGGCGATTAGGTCATGAGGGCTCTGCCCTCATAAATGGGATTAATGCCCTTATAAAAGAGGCCCCAGAGAACTTCCTTCCTCTGCTACATTGTGAGGAACGTGCTGTCTGTGAAGCAGACAGAGCCCTTGCCAGACACTGAATCTGCCAGCACCTTGGTTTTTGGACTTCCCAGCCTCCAGAAGTGTGAGCAATATATTGCTGTTATTTATAAATTACCCAGTCTAAGCTATCTTGTTGTAGCACCCCAATGGACTAAGATAGGCCTCCTCTGTGATGAAGATCAAATGAGGTTCTGTCCTAGAAGGCAGATAGACGACACAGCCTCTGCCTTGAGTCATGAACACACAATAGATGAGATGGCTGGCTTGTGAAATTGGGCAAAGCAAGGATGTCTGCTAGAGGAGCCTGCAAGGGGAGAAGTCAGTGTGGACTCCAGTGGTTAGAAGAACCTGGAACTTGTACATGAATTGTATTCCTTTCTTGTCTGACCCACTATCTCCCAGGTACCTCTACCAGCCTTTTGCTCATGATCTCACCGTGGGCCACTTACTTTCTGAATGTGATGATGCTGAGTTGATGCCCGAGCTGGTGGTGTACCCCCAGAGGAGCCACACTGGGCTGCCTGGTTCTGCTTGTGGGGGTGAGATTTGGGGAGCAGTTCCTGTAAAACAAATTTATCCTTAGCCACCTCACTTCTGTCAGTGCTGTGACCTGATGGTGGGGGTTGCAGCTAGTGTTATCTGGGATGTTCTCATGGCCACAGCTGGCCTGGGCTCCCTCCCATCGGATGAATTCCTAAATGACTTTCTGAGATGCTCAGGGGCCTGCATGCCTCTGTGGCACACTGGGCCTCAGGCTTCCCAAGAATACTCATTTGTTTCATTTGCTCCGACCTAACATGTCAGCTTTGCACAGAAAATCAGAAATGGTTGAGGTAAGAGGCATGAGCTCTCCTTCTCAGTGTGGGTGGTAGAGCACCCTGCCAAGCTGGGAGAAGGAATTAGGCAGGGCAAACTTCATATGTTGATTCTCTCACTTGCTCAGTGTTTATTCAGGTAATGGTTTGTGGGCTTAATAAATGTACCTAGAGCTCTGCTGCTTTACCTGGGAACTCTATCGGAGACTCCCCAAGACATTTGTGTATTTGAACAGCAATATATGTGTTTTTAAAGAGGTAATTTAATCTGGATTTATATAATTGATTATTTTTCAAAGGGCTTGTGGCATTTCTTGAGATCTCATCTTTTTCATAAAATTTCCCCAGTAACTGGAAATAAGCCCTTGAGTTCCTCTCCTTCCTGGCTTCCATTACACTCCCCTGTCTACTTTCTTAAACTCACTTATTTAAGCCTCTGTAAATAATTTTTCTGTGGAGAGATAAGGCCTGTGAAAGAGTAAAAAGAGAAGTGGATGAACCAGTGTGAGGGACTGTATAGTAGTGGTTAAGGGTGCAAGCTCTGAGGCCATGCAGCCTGGGTGAAGCCATGCAGTTCTGCCACTTCCTGTTTGGTAATGTGGGGCCAATTTTTTAACTTCTCTGTGAAGTTAAGACCTAGCATTTTTTAACTCCAAGTATATGGGCTTTTATAAGATGTAAAGCGACATGGATACACGCTCACTGTAACAACAAATAACATTTCCTAGGAAGTTAGGGAAGGTGATGGGAGAGCCAGAAATATTTCAGCATCATTTCTGCTTTAAAGGCTTCCACCTAATTGGACAGATAAAATCTAAGGAAATAACAGAGTGGGGAGATAACTCTCAAACCTTTTCTTCCTATTCTCTGATCACTTGGCCCCTTTCATGTCATAGATTCAGCTGTCTTGTGAACCACAGACACCTCATCTTTAATGAGGAAAAGGAGAGTTAAAAAGACAGGACAAGTAAAGTTAATGCCCAGATACCTGCCTGGTTGGTGTCCAGAGGAGAGGGTTATAATGGCCATTGAGTGTATTACAGATCCCAGTTGAAAGCAGAAAATCCACTTGGTTTGATTATGGTTGGGCATGAGTAGGCAACATGGGCATTCCAAATTGTATAAGTGTAATTTGAAAAGAACAAAGCAAAAACACTGAGGGGAGGTGCTTGGCTCTAGCCTGGGCAGAGCTTTTCCGTAGGGCCAGGTAGGGAATCCAGACTGCTTACATTCACTTTTGCTTGCTGCCACATCTGACCTCCCGTGCGCTCAGACTCCCACCCCCACCCACCCCATCTTTCCCACAAAATAGTAAGACTCCAGAAGGGTTACATGGGGAAAAGCTGGAAAAGCAATGGTAATTGGCACGTTTCATCAGTAATTACTAGGCACACTCAAAATTGTAGGGGGTCAGAGGTAGGGAAGGAGACTGGATTATTATCCAACTGTCTCTCAGTTCAAAACCAATTTGCTACCCTTAAAAAGGTCATCTGGTGAATGGTGTGGGCCATTTCACTCCTTTTTTGTTTAACCTCCCCTGTCAAGAGCTCTTTCTGACATAGATAAGCCATGTTTTGACACCCAGGAACTAAGGCCTGACCTTGTCCCTTTGGAAACTGGTAGCACCTGCCTTTTAGAAAGAAGGGAATTTGGATATGAAGTGTAATTTTCCTGCCTAGCCTTAGGCAGCAATAGTTCCTGCCGGCAGCTTTGAGATGTTATCATCATAATAATAGCAAACACTTATATAGCATTTACTGTGGGCCAGGCACTGTCCTTAGCACTTTGCTGAGGAAACTATTTTAATCTTCCTCCTGTGTCATCACAGTTGCTCTGGAAAACAAGACCACTGACCTTTATTTTAGAGTAAGACATTGGCTTTACTGAGAGCTGCCTGCAGGAATGAATAGAGAGGGCCCAGCCAGAAGTTGGGGGACTCTCTTGACCGACCTCATCAGCCCTGGGTGGTTTCTATCCATGAAAGAGTGTGGGTTGGGCAGAAAAAGACAATGGATATTGATACAGTAAGTCTCAAAGCAAGCTGATATGGCAAAAGCTACAGCATTACATGGCTCTTGTGTTGACTTAAACCCTGCACTTAAAATTTTGAGAGCTATTTTTAAAGTACTGATAACATATTTTTGAGAGGGGTCATCATCTTCATCCAGGATGAAAGGTTTTATCAGTTTCCTAGGATTTTTCTCTGACAGCCTGAGGAACAAGGAATCTGTTATTGAACAAGGTAGATTGATTTACTTTTCATAATAAGTTGTGAGGTGTGTTGCAAGTAATTTATTACTAATGACAGTCAATTGCAAATGTTTTTATATGATTTACTTTAAAAATTATACCATATTCAAAATTCTACCTATAATAATGCCATTCTTACTCACTTGAGTTTCAATATGCTTTCTTGAGTGAAGAGAAATGTGGTGTCACAGCTCACAAGCTGGGAGGGCCACCTGGCAATGCATGGTATATTTGAACTTCCTCTGCCGCATGTCAGGGTGGACATTATTGCCGTAAGTATTGAAAGTTAGACTTGGGGTATTTCTACCAGAAGCTTCCCTTTGGTTTTGAAGCACAAGGAAAGGACAGCTGCATTTTTTTTCTTGATAATTTCTTAACCAAAGTTTGGGTCAGCAGGAGGAGGGATAAGGACATAAAAGAAAACCTAAAGAAGAAGCCACTTTTTATGTCTGATTTGGTCTCTTGGCTTATAAATGTACCCTGTGCTCTAAATTTTCTTTCCTTTTTCCCCTTGCATGCTGAGGAATTTAAAAATGCAGAATGGCTTGAAGGGAAATGATTACTTCTTCTAACCCTTTTCTGCCCAAATAGAAGCCCAGCTTCACAGTTTCATGTATAATCTAACCTCAGCCACATTATAGTCCACTGTGAGCTTGCTTTTTCATTTGGTAGCCTTTGGTTCTTACCTGACAGTATTTGCTTTGGCTTATGAGTATTTTGGCAGCAAAGACATCTGAATGTTCCAGGCAATTCGGGCCCTACTAATGAGGGCCCTTTAGCAGGTTGGGATGCAGATTTGGGGTCAGAGAAGAGCAGCATGCCCAGCACAGCTGGTTCCCAGCAAGACATTTGCTGGCCCTATCTATGCCAGGTGAAGTGGCAAAGCCATCAAAATATAGAGCTGTACTTTCTACCTAAGGGGCTGTCTATTCAAGCCTGCTTTTCCTTTGTAAATGCACCTAAAACTGGCTCCTCCTGTTGCTAATCAATATTTAGTGTGGCAGCTGCGTCCCTGGATGGCTGTGTGTGTAAGCACGTGTGTGTGTGCTGGGTGCACATGGGACCTCTGCACACATACCTCAAACCAGCAGTCCCCCATGTCTTTTCCCATTTTAAGTAAATGACATAGAATGACCAGAGAGAAATTTATTTAAGATTTCCATGTCATCAAGGCAAAACGTTAATTCTAAGTCATGTTTGGTAATTGTTATACTGAAATCTATTATTTCACCATTGGTCTTCATTTGTTCATTACTCCATCCTTTTTATCACCTGTCCTACTGTGTGGTCTCTCATTATCATCTATTTATTCATTTCACTATTCACCATTCATTAAGAATTCCTTATGTGCCAGGCACTGGAAATGAAAGTAACTCACAGTCTCTTTCATGTGGTCTCAGGCTCCAAGATTGTCACTAAAGAGGGCACAATGACATTCTGAAAACACACAACTCATCAGAACTCAGACAAGGGGGCCAAGAGTCTTCAGACTCCTAAGCCTACATTCATTATGGCTTAGAGCAGTTGTTTACCAACCTTCCTTCAGGAAGAGCCTATTTTAGAATGTAGGTTCTGATAACAACCCGAGAGATTAAGATTCAGTAGATATTTGATGTTCCCTAGGAGTCTGCATTTTAACAAGTATCAATTGATTCTGGTGCAGGTTGTCTGCTGACCATAGAGAACACAGGGTTAGAACCTCCTGGTCTCATTTGTCCTGATTCAGTGGTTCATTCACAGTTGCTTTGTAGTTTAGATCAGTCTCTTTTGTTTGGAGGATTACTGAGATCCCTTGAGATTAGCTGTGCAGACAATGCAGAGACAGGAGATGTGCTTCAGCGTTTTTTCTTTTAAAGCTTTACTCCTTCCTATTCCATGAGTGCCTTGTGGACTGTTTTGAATATTGGAAAGGGGATGAAAATGTGCCTGGTTCTTGCATGTTAGCTGAAACTGGATTCCAGAGAAAGCTTATTAAATTATTTCCAAAGGACCAAACTCCCTGATTCCTTTATTAAAAGGAGCTTGTTTTGTTTGAGAGAAGGGTAATCTTTTGTGTATCTAATGGCAGAACATCTAGATACATTTTTTTTAGATTGTGAATACCTCATCCTGCTCCTATGCCTATAGTTAAACACACCCTACCCACTATTTCCTCGTGGACAATGAAAAGTTAACCAGAGGACCAGGCTTTGGTGGCTCACACCTGTAATCTCAGCTCTTTAGGAGGCCAAGGTGGAGGATTTCTTGAGGCCAGGAGTTCAAGACCAGACTAGGCAACATAGGGAGACTGTATCGCTATCAAAATATGTATATATTTTAAGCAGAGGCCTTTCTCCTGTGGGCTTATTGAGTAAGATAAGCCTCTATGAGCACATTAGAACTGTCAAATACTTACCATGAAGGAGACTTAGTGGGAATATGCCTTTGCCTTGCTGATCAAATATGGGGCTTTAATACCAAAGTATATACTTCTACATACTTCTCTTTTTCTCCCATTGAAATACACATCTCTGTCTGTGGCCAGAATAGTTTCTCCTACAGTATGAGGAACTCGTGATAGAGTAAGAAAAGACATTTGTGCTCTTCCTAATCCCACACACCATCAAGACATAAGTAATCATTCATCATCATTAGCAATTGTTGACTTTTTAACCCATGCCCAAGTAGGGTCAGCCAGACTGAGAGTGGTGACAAAGGGATGGCCTCCACCTCCCTGAGCTCATTCTGGTTTCTCACTACATTCATAATAAAAGACATGGGAAGGGTTTCCATACCCACCCCTCTCTATTGAGGGTTGAGTAAGCAGGCACTTCTAAGCTGGAACCTGCACTTTTAAATGAATAGAGGAGAGTAGTCCACCCCACCCCCGCCGGGGAACTGTCCATGGTTCTGAACCACTTAGGCATGTTTTTGACTCACCCTGTTTGGGGTTCACTACAGTATGTGAGCAGGAGAACTCACACACTGCTCATTTAATAAAAAGGTTTTATTAAATCCCTCTGCTTAATTACCTGATCCTGCATCTGAGGTTGCTGACTTTAAAATAAGATAAATGTTGTGGGTGACTGGCTTAGGTAAGGGAGCACAGGCTCTGTCCACAGAAAATTTGTCTCTGGGCTGTGAACTAGCCCAAGGGGACCTGAGCATGACCCTGGTCCTGTCAGCATTGAGTCTAAGAAGTTGAGCTTGCCTCCCTGAGATGATTTGCTACATACCTGTCCAAGCTCCCTGACACTTCAGGACCCAGATGCCAACCTGGCAGGGTTCCTTCTGTCCTCTGCATGAATTATTATAGGCATCTGAGAGGGGTCTTTCTTGAGCTATTAGTTGTAATTGGATTCATGAATAATCAATTTGCTCCCAAGTCTCCCCATTTGTTTCTGCTTGCTTATGGTGTTATTGCACATCAGCGAGTCACCAAATAACTTCCTTTTCAGAAGTTGGGCAAGTGCTGCTCCTTGGCTTGTCAGGAGCTGATACCAGGATCCTGTTCATTTACCCCAATTTGTAGCCTCTTCCGGGGAGACTCTACCTCCTTTTGCATTGAAATGGATGAAAATGTTCTTATAAATTTTTGATGTGTTACTTTGTTCTTCCATTCCTTTGTCAAAAAGAAGGCATATAATACACTTTCTATCTGCCAAACTCTGGGAATGTGAATATGACTAAGATGCAGTCTTGTCCTCCAGAAGCTTGTGGCTCAGATAGGCACACAGATAACTATAATATAATGTCACAAGTCCTGTGATTGTCAGAGGTAGGGAAGTCTTTGCAGAGAAAGTGACATTTGTACTGGGTCTTGAAGGGTGAGGAGAAGCCCAACAGACAGAGGATAATGGACATTCCTGACAAAGAACACAGCCCTAACAAGAAGGGAAATATATGGATATGTAAGGGCTGGTTGGGAAACAGAGTAGTGGCTCAGCACGGGGGACTGGGAAGGAGAAGGGGCTAGAAAGCCATTTTCTGAAGAGCCTTGAGAGCCATTTGAAACCTTTGAATGAGACAGGTATAGTCTTAGCTGCCCTGCAGAAATGAGCTTCTACAGCATTAAAAGCCTGTTCATCGTTCATACCTCTGTGCAGATTTCCTCCATTCAAGCTTCTTCTTGTCCAAGAGGGCTTCCCTGATCACCCCCTACCCCCAGACTGAGTTGAGAGAGCCATAGGCAGGTCCATCATTTAGCCACCCATTGGGTTATAATTGCCTTCCATGTTTCAAGCTTTCACACAAGACTGGAAGCTTTCTTAGATCTGAGTCTGGACATTACTTGGTGTTTTTTGTCTGGTGTATAGGGCAGTATCTAGAATAGGGAGGGTGCTCAGTAAATGTATCTTGAATTAATGTATAAAAAACTGAATGAATACCTTAAAGCTCCTTGTAAGATGGAGCCTAATGTGTCACATCTAGGGGTTCAGAAATACTTTCATAGGTAATTCTGACAGTGAAATGTGTCTGTGTAGTGCAGCTACGGGCTATGGGCATTGGGATGCCATTATCAACAGCAGTTTCACAAGAGGGAATGCTAGCCAGGAAGGTCTTAATGCAGTTAGAAGCCACAGTCTGACATAGAAGAAAGGGTTAATTGAATGGCAGTGACAAGCTGATGGTTCTGATTAGCCAAGCTTTTATGTCTCAACTAAGATGTCTCAGCTAAAGTGTCCATGGTGGCTCCTACCCTCAGGAAAACAGGCATTTTAATAGGGAAAATTATTTTCAATAATTTCCTCATGACAGGAGAAGTCAGGGAGATGGGATGTTCTGTTCCACATAGCAGCCAGCAGAAGATGTTTCAATCCTGATGATGTTGCCCTAGAAAATGAGGACTATTAACTGAAGCATTCATTGGAATTGGCAGCAGGACGCATCTGTCTGAACAGATGAGGTATGAGGGTGACATTGGCCACGAGTGCCCTTTGTGAGTCGGTATTCTCACTGTGGGTCCCAGAAGCTATTATGAGACCCTGAAGTCAAACTACAACTGAACCCTCAAGCACATAGCTAGAACTTGATAAAGTACAAAGATTCTGAATGTCTGAAAATCCTGTTTGCAAAGCCCATGCCTTCTGCTGTAGGGAAAAGACATTTAACCCTCAGCCTGTTTCTATTTATAAGAAAAGTAAACATTATGCCAAATGGATTTCTTTTTCTGAATCTGTCTCCTATCTTCAGTAGGAGCACTATTTGATGAATATTTACTTAAATCTCTGGATTGTTCCTTTTTGACTGATAATATTGCAGAGAAAAATGAGCAGAGGCCTGGAATCTAACGCTACTGCTTACTGGATCAGTAAGCAGATCCTAACTCTACTGCTTACTGGATCAGTGGTTATCCAGCCTTGGCTGCACATTGAAATCATCCAGGAGCTTTAAAAAAAAATACTCCACATCAGACATTCTGATTTAATTGGCTTAATATACAGCTTGGGCACTGTAGTTTGGGATTCTAAGTACAGCAAAGGCTAAGAACTACTCTACTAAGAGAATCACTTTGGAAAAGTTACTGGACTTCTCTGGGTCTTATTTTTTCTTGCCTGAAAATTGGGAATTAATATAATCCTCACATATTGTGAGGATAAAATCAGGTAAAGTCTGTTCAGTAAATGATGACTACTATTATTGTCACATTTCTAAATACAGGACCACAGATAGCCCATGTAAGCTGGTAACCTTGAATGACACAGGCCATACTCTTTCCCCGGCCACAGTGGGAAATGTGAGAAGCTATAGATACCTCAGTGAAGGCCATGTCAGACCCATGATAAGGAGTGCTCATCTCACTCGTAGAACAGATCTTTGACCTTCTGTCCACGTGAGGACAGCATGTTTGCCATCAAAGCATCAATGCTGCCCAACCATGCTTCAACTCACACGTGTCCCTTTGTTAACCTTTCAAGTGCTGGACCTTTCTACTCCATGGTTAACTTGCTTGTTTTTTGTTTGAGAATTGTTGGGGTTTTTTGGTATGTTTTCCCCTTTCAGCTTAATGAAATCAGGACCCTGAAGCCAGCAGAAACAAGAGAATGGAAAAAATCTTGATTTCATTTTTCACTTTGTTCAGCACTTTGCATGATCATCCTCAGACTCTGTCATCAGAAGGTCTTTCTTTGTTTTGATGAAGGCATCAGGGTTGCTAACTAACTTTATTTTAAAGGAAAGAAACATTTGGAAAGTGTTTCTTCTTGGTTTTTCTTTGGGGAGAGTTTCCTAGGGGCCAGGATGGACCTTTTCTCACTTCCCCTTCTCCACCTCTGAGGAGTGGCTGGATCTAAGTAGTAGGGATCTGCTGCTGGGGGGACATGGCTGCCACAATTGACTCCATGGATGCCTATGACTGACCTTCATGGTGACCATGGTCCTCCTAACAAAAGAACATTTTTTTTCTCATGGCTAAAGGATGAGAGAAGCCCAATTTTACTCTATATAACATATTTTTAAATCTTAAGTTAAAAAATGTAAGGTATCATTTTTTTTCTTTTCAGGAAGGAAAGGAATTTGAGAGACCACGAGAGACACTGGCTATGGGTGAGGCCAGGCAGGCAGGTTTCCCATTGGGGTTTTCTGTCTGATTGCCTTGTTGATTTAAGTACTTTGCTCATACCTCTTTACTGATTAATTTTCCCCTTATGGTTGTGTGCCCTTCAGAAGTCTGTTTATATTTCCATAAATTGGTGTTGATTTTTTATCAGGTTAAGTTGTCTTCCCTGAGGTCTGTCAGGAACGGGAAGCACATTAACCCCAGCAAGACAAGTGTGAGATTTTCCCCAGATGCCTCAGGTTCCTACACAAATGGAGTTAAAACAAACAAGGAAATTTCTGGGAGGCTGTTCTCTACCCATTATATAAATTGAATTTCTCTTCTTCCATCTGTTAGACTTTAGATTGCTGTATTTTACTAGACTTGATTCCAAGATATTTCAGAAACTCATAGAGGACAGTCATCCCTTCCATCCACTTTTATGGAGACCATACACTGTGCCAAGCTAGGGGATAGAGGTTAAATCAAATCCCCAGGAGCCTAGGTGGCTAGGAGAGAAAACACATGTGTAAATTATCTCTAATTATGATGAGGGATAACAGCAATGAACATGGGGCAGAGCCATACAGAGGCAGGAGCAGTAGAGGGCAGGACTCATCTGTGCCATCAACACTACCAGGCCCTTCTCCATCCCCTGCTCCCAGGGGCACAGAACTTCTGATCCCTTCTCATGAGTTCTGGCTTTCCTTCATTCCCTGGCTATGCAGTGGGCTCCTGCTATATACCTATGTAATTTAAAAGCCATAGTCTCTCTGTGGTGGCCAAATAATGGAGGGAGGTTTTCACTGCCCAGAAAATAAGAGTAAAATATAAGCACTATATAAGCACACATAACAAGAAACACTGAAGCCAAAACAGCCCTTTTACGAAATACCTTTCCCTTCTCACCTTTGAGCTTCACTCCAGCCCTACAAAGTAACACAGAACAGATCCTTCTTATCCCTATTCATAGAATGGGGGGACTTTCTAGGCTTAATGTGTAATCTTTTAACGTTAGAGCAGATTTTCTTTTTTATGTCTTTGTGAAGCTCATGATCCCTTGTGAGGATCCAGCTCTAGTCGTTGGCCTGCTTTCAGTATGGGGCTGGAACCCACTGGGGAAACTGCTACATGCCCACTGGTGGATTGATTGGCAGTGGAGGGAAGTGGCAGGGTGAGTGGGGGAGAGGGTCATCTTCAGCAGACCCTGAGTCCATTTAGAAACAGAAGGTCAAATAACTGGGCCTGGTCTGTAGTCTCTTCCTGGAACCACAGGAAAGAGGACAGCTGGGACCTAGCCATTGGCTTCTGACAGCCTCTTTCTTTTTCATTTATTTATTTATTTATTTATTTATTTATTTTTATTATACTTTAAGTTTTAGGGTACATGTGCACAACGTGCAGGTTACATATGTATACATGTGCCATGTTGGTGTGCTGCACCCATTAACTCGTCATTTAACATTAGGTATATCTCCTAATGCTATCCCTCCCCGCTCCTTCTACGGCTTCTGATATGTCTCAAAAAAGCAGCAAGGGGCTGGGACAGAGTCTCCTTCATGCCTTGTGCCTGGGAAAAATTATGTTTCTCCATTGAGGGAGAATCTACATTTTATTTCGGCCATCAACTTCTATGCAGTCTTCTGTTGAGTCTCAGGTTTATATCTCAGATCTCATTATTCTAAAAACAATGCAAAAATACCTCAAAAGAAAATACATTTTATAAGATCTAAAAATTTTATTAACCCAAACCACCAACTGCTTTGACAGCTAGTGGAAGCCTTTGTGAGCAGAACTCTTGCGCTGAAGAATTTTCACTGGCATTAAAAACCACTCTGATTATCAGGCTAGCTCCTCGTAGGTGGCCAAGAGCTACAGCAGTAGGGCCTGGGTTATGCAGGTTAACTGTAGGAACCTTTATTCTCCAGGGGCATCAAGTACCTATTGTGTGTGCAAACCCAGCACCAGGTGGAAGGGCTCCTAGATACAGTGGAGAGAACCCTGAGCTGAAGCAGGAGGTCTGGGCCTGGGTTCCTAGCCTCAATTCCCAGGTGTTCAGGGCTGTTATACATGGGACTTTCCTCTACTCTCTGGATCACTGAGTCCTAGCTATCAAATGAGGAGTTGTACTTGGGTATTGTAGGGTTCTTCTAGCTCCAAAGCCCCAGAGGAAGTAATACTGGTTGCTAAAGTTATAAAAGAAAGAGATACAGGGGGAGAGACAACATCAATGTCAGAGTGACTGTCATATCATGCATGACATAATTTTTGTTGACTCTTCTACTCCCACTACCCTGTGAGGAGGCCCAACTTTCCTGGACAACATAAAGGAGCAGGGAAAACAATCTCAGCTTCTGTAATTGCTCCTATCCCTGGTTATGAAAGACATCTACCCCCTTTTCCTAGGCCAGAGTCCCTTGAGAAAGGGATTTGGCCAAGGAGAACAGGTGACGCAATGTGATGATGCCACTATATGATTAATGGCACACATCATTTTTGGCCAGAGTTTGTAGAAACAAACAATAGATCTATATTAGTCCCAGTTCTTTGGGGGCAAGCAAGGTCAAGTTAACCCATTATATATAATTAAAATTCTATCCCTTACGATTTTACCCTTTGTCTTCAGCACAGATTCCTTCCACATTCTTCCTGAGACTGTCCCCAAGCGAACTTGGTCTTGAGTGACTTTACCTTTTTTACTGCTTAATCGCATATGGTTATTCTTACTCTTATATCATTGCCATAAGAAGGAGATAAAATAAGAAAGTTTTGTTGACAAGCCAATGCAATGTAAATCTTTACTGAAATTCTATTTGCGTTATACCTCCTGCCTTGGCTTAGCTCATATTTCTGGTCAAAATAATGCAATGAAGTCCTCAATTCCCGTTCCCATACCTCACTTTCTACACACCTGTTTTCTCTTTGTCTCTGTAAGTTCTGGATGATCATATTAATTTGATTTCTCCTGAAAAATCTTGATGCTGTTTGTACCTTCCACAAAGCCATTTTCTCCTATTCTCTCCATTCAGCAGTTTGCATTCTGCTGTCTCACTAGTCCTGTTTGGCCATAGAATGTCCCATCTGCTTTAGAGATGTTCCCAGTGTACTGCAATGATGTGGCCCTTGTTCTCAGAGGGTGAAAATCTGCATGCCGCTGCATTTAAGAGGAATATAGGAAAGACGGGAGGGACACACAGACATTTACACACATAGCGCTAGAAAAGGGAGGGAAGGAAGCCCAGTGGGCCAGGCCTTGAGTCAGATGTTTGAACCTCTTTGTCTCACTTGATCCTCACACCACCTTGTACAGTGATACGGATTGTTTTCCAAATTTACAAATGAAGCAATCAATGTTCACCAAGAGTTAAAAGGAATGTCTATTAAAAGTTAAATTATTCATCTTATTCCACATATTGAGTTATGCAAGAAAAATGATCTTATTTTTTTTTTATTTTACTTTAAGTTCTGAGATACATGTGCAGAATGTGTAGTTTGTTACACAGGTATACATGTGCCATGGTGGTTTACTGCACCTATCAACCTGTCTTCTAGGTTTTAAGCCCTGCATGCATTAGGTATTTGTCCTAATGCTCTCCCTCCCCTTGCTATCCACTCCCCAACAGGCCCTGGTGTGTGATGCTACCCTCCCTGTGTCCATACGTTCTCATTGTTCAACTCCCACTTATGAGTGAGAACATGTGGTGTTTGGTTTTCTGTTCCTGTGTTAGTTTGCTGAGAATGATGGTTTCCAGTTTCATCCATGTCTGGGTGTATACTAAAATGACCTTATTTTTCTATGATTCAGTTTAGGTTTCCTTATAAGTCCCCATGCCTACAAATAGCAGAATCTTTATCTCAGGAAATTTGGGGCCACTCCCCACGTTTCTCAGGGGTTGATTCCGAGTGCTAGCTGGTGCTGTCTGATACAACTTTCTGTGGTGATGGAAATATATTTGCACTGCTCCATGCAGTAGCCCCCAGCCATATATGGCTAATGAACACTTGAAATGTGGCTAATGCAACTGAGCTAATGCCTTGTTAATTTTATTTAATTTTAAATTAATTTTAATTTAAACGGCCACACGTAGCAATGGCTACCATACTGGACAATGCAGTTGTGGGCAATTTTACATGGTGCGAAGGCATTTGGTGCCTTGGTTGGGGGCTAATCTTGGGAGTTGTCATCTACCACGCTGGAAATCTGAAAATGGTTTTTGATTCCATTGAGATATCATTGATCCCCACAGACTCTTGAGTCTTCTCCAGTTCCTGACCCCATGGCTCTTGAGGGGTGGCTCCCTCTTAGCCACCTCTTCACACTTCATTGGCTCTGGGGCTACATTGTCTAATGTGGTAGCCACTGGCCACATGTGCCGACTGAGTACTTGAAATGTAGCTAGTCAGAACTGAGATGTGCTGCCAGCATAAAATAGACAAGGGATTTTGAAGACTTAGTGTGTATATATATATGTGTGTGTGTGTGTGTGTGTGTGTGTGTGTGTGTGTGTGTATATATATATGTATATATATATTTATACACACATACATATAATTTTATTTATATAAGACTTGGTATTTTATATATATAAATATATGTATATATTTTATATATATACATATATGTATATATTTTATATATATACATATATGTATATATTTTATATATATACATATATGTATATATTTTATATATATACATATATGTATATATTTTATATATATACATATATGTATATATTTTATATATATACATATATGCATATATTTTATATATAAATATATGCATATATTTATATATAAATATATGTATATATACATATATACATATATTTATATATATTTATATACACATATATACATATATTTATATACACATATTTTTATATGCACATATATTTATAATATTTATAGAAGACTTAGTACTTTTTATATATATAATTTTTTATGCTGATTACATATTTGAGTATTATATTTTGGACATATTATGTTAAATAAAACATTAAAATTAATTTTACCTATTTTTTTCCTTGTTTTTTGTTTTTGTTTTTGTTTTCTGAGATGGAGTCTTGCTCTGTCACCCAGGCTGGAGTGCAGTAGTGCAATCTCAGCTCACTGCAACCGCCACCTCCTGGGTTCAAGCAATTCCCGGGCCTCCGCCTCCCCAGTAGCTGGCATTAAAGGTGCACACCACCACGCCTGGCTAACTTTTATATTTTTAGTAGACATGGGGTTTCACTATGTTGGCCAGGCCTGGTCTCAAGCTCTTGATCTCAAGTGATCTTCCCACCTCGACCTCCCAAAGTGCTGGGATTACAGGCATGAGCCACTGCACTCAGCCAATTTTACCTATTTCTTTTGACTTTTTAAATGTAGGTACTAGAAAATTCACATATGTGGCTCACATTTGTGCTTGTGTTATATTTCTCTTGGACAGCACTCCTCAAGGGAATCTGCTGTTCCTGAGTACATCCACTGCCTCAGATCCGGTCTGTAGAATCAAGAAAGTGTCAAGGGGTAACAAGAAATACCAGAAGGGGATAATTCAAAATGTTACTTCACCACACCAGCAACTGGGTTTTCTGATGAACTGTGCAAGGAGTGTTCCTAGCCGTTTGGATCTATGAACCTGGAGCCAGGGCTTCTTACAGACAGACAGTCTGCTCAGGAGTGACATGAGGCCCAGGGAAAAAGGGAGGGAGAGCACTGGTCAGCCTCTGCCTTAGAGCAGGACTTGTCTCATTGGTCAAAAGCTGAATCCCTGAGAGTTGGGGAGCAGCAGGGGCCATGCTGAGGTGCAGTCTGCGGACTAAAGTGCATTCATATCCTGATCCATCCAGGTTTGGCTGATGCCGCTTATAGCCCCTACATGTTGAGCACAGGGATAACTGCCAGTCAGTTATATGCTTTCAGCCCTAGGCCAGAAATGGGATCTCCTCTCTGTTGCCCCAGGCTCTAGCTGAGGGCCTAGCTCTTCAAAATCCCTCAGGGAAACACAAGTTTGGCAAATAAGGGCAGCTTTTTCTTCTCATGGTATCTCACCTGACCCCAGAGGCTTCCTGGGAGGCAAAGAAGGGCTACTTGTAAAGCTAAGTGATTTTAGAAATTAATCAGTATGTGGTGAAATAGAAGATATAACTCAAATGGAAGATATAAACTCATCATATCATTCATGATATAAACTGATCAGTCAACTTAGTGCTGTATGCCCTCTTCCAGGGCCCACAGAGGGTCACACATGGGTTTGTTTTGATGATTATTGTTGCTAACATTGGGCTAGAACCTCTAGCCCCACTTTCTTAGCCCCAAAAAATCATAGCAACTCGTGATTATCTATAAGTGTATGCCCAGCACCTACTCTTTGCAGAGCCCTAGTGATCTGCATAGTTGGAACAGAGAGAGCAAGCCTCCTCGAGAAGCCTGGTTGGAGAGACAGGGCATGTAATCAGAGACAATTTGGTCATCACAACCAATAGAGCCTGAAAACAACTGAAGATGAGCACAGGAGGCCTCAGTGAATGTAGTAGACATGTCTGGAGGAAGTTAAAGTTCTATGCAAGTTAAAGGACATAACCCAATTCCATTTTAAATGCCTGTAAGGAAGACTTCACTATTTGAAGAACCCTGTAGTAAATCATTCCTCAAAGTAAACCCTTTAGTAATAGCATACAGTTGTTGATGTGTTTCAGAAAAGTCTAGATGGTTGTGTAACATGCTTTTTTTTTTTTTTTTTGAGACGGAGTCTTGCTCTGTCGCCCAGGCTATAGTGCAGTGGCACAATCTCTGCTCACTGCAACCTCCGCCTTCTGGGTTCAAGTGATTCTCCTGCCTCAGCCTCCCAAGTAGCTGGGATTACAGATGCCCACCACCATGCTCAGCTAATTTTTGTATTTTTAGTAGAGATGGGGTTTCACCGTGTTGGCCAGGATGGTCTCGATCTTCTGACCTCGTGATCCACCCGCCTCAGCCTCCCAAAGTGCTGGGATTACAGGAATGAGCCGCCACGCCCAGCCTGTGCAACATGCTTTCTTAAAGCAAGATCTACCCAAGTATTGGAAATGGAATATAACTGAGTAGAAATGGCGGGGGGAGGGGGCAAGAGCAGGGCAGTGTTTGTTTAGAAGGGAATGTGATACATAAATTTCCTAGCTGCCTTCTCTGAGGGACTGTTTCCATTGTCCCAGGATCTACTTTCCTTTGTATCCCTAAGGCCAGGGTGGCATGTCCCCTGGAGCTTCTCCTGAAGTCTTCGTTCTTTTGTCTGAGAATGGCCCTGTTGCCCTGATCTCAGAGCCCTTACTGAGGCAGGAAACCTTCCACCGAGGTTGCCTCCTATCCCAGTCACTCCCAGAGGTTGTTGGTTGAGCTACATAACTCAGAGAGCGTTTCCCTTCCAGGCCCCACAGAAGGTCACACGTGGGTTTGTTTTGATGATTATTGTTGCTAAAATTGGGCTAGAACCTCTAGCCCCACTTTCTTAGCCCTGAAAAATCATAGCAACTCATGATTATTTATAACAATTAGCTCTTGATGGGAAAATTATGACCTAATGATTATGATGCAAACTTCTGGGGATGTTTTTATGAAAGATTAGTAATGCAAAGTTGAACCAAGCCAAACTAATCCCATTACGTTTTTTTTTTTTTTGTTTAATTTTTAAAATAGAAACAGGGTCTTGCTATATTGTGCAGGCTGGTCTTGAACTCCTGGCCTCAAGCAACCCTCCTGCCTTGGCCTCCCAAAGTGCTGGGATTACATGTGTGAGTCACTGTGCTTGGCCCTGTTAAGATTTATATTGTGTGTTATTTAAGTCTGACTATTGAGCCTAAGGCTCAAGGCAAAGAGAACTGGGCTCCTTGTCCCTCCCTACCCTCTTGCAGGGAGTGACAGGAGGCTCACTCAAGTGCCTGAGTGTGAGTCATCTGGTGTAGGCAGCACATTGGTTCTTCCAGAACTAGCCCTGCAGCCTGTCAGAGTGGGTGGAAGCCTATCTCTGCCCCTGATGGAAGATAGCTGGGGGTTTCTATTCCCAGAACTTTGAGCTGTCATGAGTCTTTGCTGCTGTCAGGCCCCCTATTGAGGCAGAGTCTTCCTGTGGACTTGATCTGAAGCTTTCTCTGCAGGCCTGGCTGCATGCCCTCTGCACCCACTAGGACCAACACAGGTCTCTGATGGGTAGTCTGTGCCGGTCAGACATCACCATGGATTGGTCCCTTTGGGAGGAGATAGTGTACATCTCTAAACATCCAGAGCACCATCAGAGCAATGGCTGGGGGAAAATGAGGTTATACATCAGCCACACAGAGGCACTGCATAAATCAAGTCAACAAGATTCATTTCTTTCTTTCTTGGTTGTGTCCTCCAGAGAAGATGCCCCTAGAGAGACAAAGTACATGCAGAGTGTGGAGTGCACAAAAGATAAAGGCAAAAATGATATAGACTGCCTTCCTTTGAAGGCAGGGATGGTATCATGATCCTCTTTACGTCTCCAGCAATAGCACAATGCCTGGCACACAAGCGCCATGGGTTACCTGTTTGTTTGGAAGAATGAGTGAATGGATGAATTCAGACCGTAATTTATGATTATGCTGCACATGTATATTCTGACCCCTTGTGTGGATGTCACAAGCTCATTGCACGTACCGTTGTGTTCAGTCCTCCACAACCCATCCATTGACAGGGACACTGAATTTTAGGTTAACAACTTGCCTAAAGTTGCGTGATGAATAAGCAGCAGAGGCCCCAACCCCAGGTAAAGGCAAAAAACAAAACAGGAAGAAAGAAAATGTTTCATGAGCACCTATCCCAAACCAAGTATCATTATAAACCCTTTTGTCTACCTCGAAACATTGATGTTTTGGAAAATTCTGTGAACTATACTTTACTTTACTCCCCTTACTGACAGCTGTTTTAGAAACCAAAGTTTGGAGGGGTTTGGTAATCTGCTCTAGGCACACACAGCCATTAGCTATTAAACAGAGAAGTTGATTGGAGTCCACATGCAAGTCTACAGCCCAGAGCTCTTTCTGTGACCCCAGTTGCCTCTCTCCATACTCTCTAGATAGGAGAAGACCTCTTCTCTTCTTCACATGTGTCTCACAGTGGGAGCAGGGCAGGCAGCATATTAGCCCCGTAGGTTAGAAAAAAATGTCGATATTCATACCCTTTGGTTTAGGACAATCGTGAGAAGCCTCCCACCGGAGTGACAGGATAATATGTGAACCCTAGGCTCCCAGGACACAGGTCTGATTTATTGGTGCTGAATTCCTGTTAGCTCCACTCAGAGATGCCTCAGTCTGCAATGAAATTAACTTTTGTGTAGTTGACCTCTGAATTTCCCACTCCATGAAAATATATTGTCTTTAATACAACATGAGCAGACATAATTCAGCCTGGAAATATATGGAACGGCTTCCAGGAGGAGGTGGCATTTGAATTGGGCTGTGAAGTGTAAGGACTTATTGGGGCTGAAAATGAAGGATCATGAATTGCAGGTTGAGGGAAGAAAAAATCGCAGACGGATGGGATGTTCTTCCCCCCATCCCTTCCCTAACCCCTGACACCTCTATACAAAAACTCACCACCCAAAGCCAAGAACAATTAGGAAGACGATCTATTTCTTTATGGAGAGCAAGGAAAGAGATCACATCTTGATGTCTGTTTTATCCCCAGAGCCTACCACAGTCCTGGCAATTAGAAGATGCTCATTTAATATTGATGGAAGAAAGGAGAGAACAGACCACATTCCCCAAAGTCAGAGCAGAACTGCATCTTCAGTGCTGAAAGCATGATTTGGACACTTGGTCTCTTTGGGAATTAAGGGCTAGGTACTCCCAATCTGTGTCTGCTGATATTGCCATCTTTCCTTTGGCCTTTACCAGACTCAGAGCTAAATTGGTGGCATCTGTCAATCTCATGGTCGGTACTTGGCTATATCTCATTTCTTACCTTTATTTTCCTTCTGTCCTTATTATGTTATGATTTATCTTGTGTTTATGCATCTAAGCGAGCATCTTTCTTTGAATATGTTGTTGTTTTTGAAACCAAGGTAGAGAAGAAAAACTTTTTAAAGGTGAATAAAATAAATTGACAAACACAGGAGCAAACCCCAGTTAAAGGAATATTGCCTGCACAATAGCACCCCTCCTGATGGAGAAGGTAGAGTGAGGAGGATGTGCACGAGTCATCTGCATTGTGTCAGGGGAGCCAGGCCAAGGGAAGGCAAGTGGCTCTGCTGCTGGGGTTGGGGGACTAGGGGTGGGGAAAGGCAACTGTTCGTAACTTCTTCAAGGCCTTGGCACTGGACCTGGAGCTGATAGACTAAAATTCCAAGACTTGTAGGCAGGTACAGATTCCTGTTAATGTGGGTATGCAGCTCTCAGAACCCTTTCAATGAACTTATAACAGGAATGCAAGGGCCACAGGCATTAGGAGTGAATGTTTCAGGCAAGCAAAGGTGAAACTCTTGAATAGGTATGAGCCAAACCACCTGTGACACCAGCAGCAAGTTCTGCCATCACTTTCTGCTTTCTACAGCATTGTTTTTGGAGGAATGGACAGTCATACCAGCAGAAGGAAAAATTAAAGGAAAGTCACTCTAGCATCAGAAGTTTTGCTTTTCATGCTGGAAAGAACAGATTCTGGGCCAGGAAGACTTTTAGGAAACAGCCTGAAGGCATTTTTCTTTCTCCCAGCCTCTTCGTTCTGCTGTGAGCCTCTAAGCAGTGTCCTGGGCTCTATTCCCACTCTCCCTGCCAGCCCTGAAGCAGGCGGAGTTTTTATTTCAAGTACCAGGAAGTGTCAGAAAACAGCCCCCAAGGAGGTGTTGATTTGATGTGAAAACTTCACACATGGGCTCAATGACCCTTGCCTTGTTTTATGTTTAGTTCATAGAAGTATTATTTTTATTTGAGTTGTTTTAAGGAAAGGCAAATATCACCACTCATGGTTGGTGCAGCATTACCATGTTCCTTTTATGGATTCTGGAGATGTACGATTACTATTTTGAATATAGGGCTTTTTTTCTGGCCACTTCATCTCATCTATGTTCTTTGCTAGACTTCATGGTGTTAATGGCTGAGCGTTGTACTCAGAGAGTACACTCCTGGCTCGCTGTCAGGAATGGGCCCTGTGGGTTGTGATTCCACCTGGTGGCCGATGTGGCCCTGAGCAGCTGTCCTTCTGCCGTTGTGGACAATAACATATGTGGGACTGTGGCCACCTAGGTGAGGGAAACTGTCTAAGCCTGGGGTCCAGGGGCTTCCTCCAGAGAAACTAACCAGCCTCTGAGAGCCACAAGTTCCCCACTGTGGCCTTCATCATATACTCCTTCAGCAGTTGTTTATCCTGCCCCTACTGTGTGCAGGCCCCAGGGATAGAGTGTGAGCAAGGCAGGCAAAGTCCCTGCCCACAGTGGACTGTTAAGCTGCCAAGGGCTTCAGAAAGTTGATGACCATAGCGCTTGAGGGGTGTTATCAGGGATACTCTTGTATCATTGCATGATAAAGGGGTAGAAGAGAGGGACACCCAAACCAAGGTGAAGGGTAAGTCCCAGAGAGGTGACATTTGAGTGAGGACCTGAAGGAAGTAAGAGCTGGCTAGGCAAAGAGGAGGAGGAAAGGCAACTCAGGTCAAAGGAACAGCATGTAAGACACCTCAGAGGCTCTAGAGAGGCTGGCATCTCTGAGGAGCATGAGAAGGTCCTAGTGAGAAATGAGCCAGATTCCATAGGCCCCGGGCTAAGGCTAACCTTCCCCTGATGGCCCAATGCCTGGGAATGGGAGTACAATTTAGAGAGATGAAGGAGAACCTGGCTTGGGCCCCTGAAGAGAGTAACAGCCCCTGAACTCCCCAGGACTTTAAGATTTACACACATCTTAGCAGAGGCCCAGGTGGTGGTCCCCGGTGTGATTTCCCACAAGATTTCTGGCAGGCCAGGTATGATGGCATTTATATTAGCAATAGTATCTGGCTTCCTCTCCTTCCCCCATGGTCTGGGGCTGTCTAGGGAGAGGCTGGCTTGGCTAGCAATAGACTAAGGGTGAATTTCATGGGCCAAGATCTGTAGCAGCCAAAATAAAGGGAGATTTGGGAGCCAGAGAGCCAGTTCACAGTGGACTGAACCAGACCTCTGTGGAAGAGCAGAATCCAGAAGCGGCCAGGTGAACAGCATGAGGCTGGCTCTGAGAGTCAGCATTTTGAAGGGAAGCTGGTGGGGATTATGGGGCAAAGGGCATGGGCCTTGTGATGACCCTTAATTGTCCTCTGTTTGCTGTAGAGTGCAGTGGGCTGGCCTGGATTAGATGGAGTGAAGACATAACATGTCACCTTCAAAATTGGTGTGGGTCACAAGGTTGCGACTGTTGAATTCACTATTTGAGCACAGAGTCTGTGCAGAGCAGCGGGTGTGGTAAAAGGAGCCAGCGTTTGAGGGCAAGCAGACCCAAGTATGACTCCCATGCCTGCCACACCACTTACCAGCCACGTGGCATTAGGCTTCTCTGAGCTTCACCTCTTCATTCTGTAAAATAGGGATAAGAAGATAGTCAGGCACTGCCTAATGCCATCAATGGTAGTGGTTCCATAAGATTATAATGGAGCTGAAAAATTTCTGTCACTTAGTGATATCATAGCCATTGTTACATTGTAGCACACTTAATTTTATTTATATTTTTATATATGTATATATAAAACTTTAGTGTAGCCTAAATGCACATCTCTTCGTATATCTCTCTCTTTCTGTCTCTCTTTCCGTCTATCAATCCACCCACCCATTTCTACTTCCCTGTATGTATCTACATATACTGTTTATAGTCTATAGTAGTGTACAGGAATGTCCTAGGCCTTCACATTCACTTACCACTGACTTACCCAGAGCAACTTCCAGTCCTGCAAGTTCCATTCTTGCTAAGTGCCCTATACAGGTGTGGTATTTTTTTTATCTTTTATATTGTGTTTTTACTCTACCTTTTCTATGTTTAAATATGTTTAGATAGACAAACACAATTATCTATAGTATTCAATACAGTAACATGCTGTACAGGTTTGTAGCCTAGGAGCAACAGGATATACCATATAACCTAGAAGTATAGTGGGCCATCCCATCTTGGTTTAAGTATACTCTAAGATGTTCACACAATGACAAAATTGCCTTGTGACACATTTATCAGAATGTATTCCTGTTGTTAAGCAACACATGACTGTATCTATATCACAGGTTGCTCACAAGGACTAATTAGCATAGTGATTGTGCAATGTACATCACATTGTCTGCTTGTGGGATGTTTTTCCCAAGACTCAACGGTACAGACGAATAGTATCTCCCCAGCACTGTATGGGAGAGCTCCTGGGCTTGGGAAGACCCAGGCACAGTGCCTACACAGCAGTCAGAGCTATCATTTCTCTCTCTCTCTCTCTCTCTCTTTCTCTCTCTCTCTCTCTCTTCTTTCTTTCTTTCTCTTTCTTTTTCTCTCTTTGTATATCTCTCTTTCTTTCCGTCTATCTGTCAATCCACCCACCCATTTCTACTTCCCTGTATCTACATATGGTTTTTAAACTAATAGAATTATGGGTCTGACTCTTAACTTAGCTTCATGATGTCACCATTGTCTGTCTTAAGTCTGTGTTAGTTTGCTAGGGTGGCTGTAAAAAAGTACCACCAATTGAGCAGCTTAAATAACAGAAATGTATTGTCTCACAGTTCTGGAGGCTAGAAGTCCAAGACCAAGGTGTCTGTAGGGTTGGTTCCCTCTGAAGCTTGTGAGGAAGAATCTGTTCCATGCCTCTCTCCCACCTCCTGCTGGTTTGCTGGCAATCCAGTGCTCCTTGGCTTCTGCCGCATCACCCCAATCTCTGCCTTCATCAACACATCCGTGTATGCATATCTGTGTCTCCATGTCAAAATCTCCCCCACCTTTGAGACAGGGTCTGGCACTGTTGCCCAGGCTGGAGTGCAGTGGTACAATCTCAGCTCACTACAACCTCTGCCTCCTGGGTTTAAATAATTATTTTGCTTCAGCCTCCTGAGTAGCTGGGACCACAGGCGTGCCACCTTGCCTGGCTGATTTTTGTATTTTTAGTAGAGGTGGGGTTTCACCATGTTGGTCAGGCTGGTCTCGAGCTACTGGCCTCAAATGATCCACCCACCTCAGCCTCCCAGAGTGCTGGGATGAGCCACCACACCCAGCCCAAAGTTTTCCCTTTTTATAAGGACAGCTGTCATTTCGGATTAAGGATTCCCTGGTCTTGAGCCTCAAATCCAAATGCCTCCTCCACCCTTGTCCTCCCTGCCCTATGCCCTTCCCAGGGAAATGGAATTGTGCTGGTTGGAGGAGTTAGGGTCTGTTAAAGTAACCCAACAGAGACTTTCCATTTTGGAATTGGGAATCTGAATGTTACAACAAGACCCGTTGGACACTTACTGTCCTAGCAGGAAATCCTCCCAGAAACTAACCCAATCCAGTTAAAATTACTAGTTATTTCCGACTGCAGGCTCAGTACTTGTGCCTGAATGGCTGAGTGGATATAAGAATGATTAAGGTAATCCTTACCCTTTGGTGGGTCAGTCCAGTAACCCTGCAAGAGTAAAGGAACTGAATATAATTCGAGTGATCAGCAAGTTTATATAGGGTCAATTTATGGAGACTATGACTATAAAATCTGTTTACGGACTCTATGTAAATATAAGATCTAATGTTTACTGTTTCATTAAAAAGTATATTTACATCAAAGATGAATTTCAAGCAGAAGCCTGTTCTTAATTATTAGAGGGGAATAGAGATCATGCTATGTTCAGAAAACGGTTGTACACTTCTGGCTGGGAGGATCAAGGAAGGCTTGATGGAATCAAGGAAGTGGAATCATTGAAGATTGATTCCACTTCAATGGAAGAAGTGGAATTCCTCAGTCCTTTGCAATAGAGAAAGTCTGAACCAACAATGGGAGTGGGGGAAGGGAAGAGCCATCCAGAGTAAAAGCAGCATAAATGGGCTCCAGAAAGGGTGAATGGGGGACACCCCTTCTTTGCCTGGAGAATAAGACAGTGGATTCCTTCTTTGCTTGGAGAATGAGACAGTGAAGGGCTGTTGCAAACACACAAGATGCTCCATGTGATGAGCTGTGTTTAGTATCTGCATGACATGCTATTATACCTGTGTTTGCATTATTGTGTCCAGCCTTGCCATGTGCCTGAATACACCAGTATCATAGCTAAAGCACACTTAAGAGTGAGTGGTAGACAAAAAAGAAGACCTCATTTGCCGTTCTGTGAAAATTATGTCTGCCTGAATAGATTCAATCTCAGATGAATTGGGAGGGAGGAAGGGCAGGGAGGCCTCCTTTTATGTGTTCTGTCCCCAGAACAAGACACATTGATGGCCCTTTTATAGGTTCCTAAGAGGAGGGAATGGCCTGGCTGTAGGAGTTTCATCTTTGTTAGTGCTGAGGGACTTTTTAGAAAATGCTCCTGCAGACAGGCCACATCTGGAGCCCACAGCCTGCCACTGGGCTGGAGCATTAAACCAGCAACGTGGTGAAGATGTTTCGTTTTCCCTCTGTGTGGCCAGCCGGCTTCCTGGCTGAACACTTACTTACACCTAAGCTCTGCCTGCCAAGAGCACGAATCAGGCAGCCACTTTATTGACCATATAAAAAACAGCGTGGGGGGAGCACAGCAGAGCATGGCTTGGGTTTTTACTACCAGTAATTGCTTGTGCTGTCCCTGTCCTTGAACAGTTCTTGATGTAAATAGCTCTATCTGGGAGGAGACTCTGGGTCAAGCCAGGGTAAATGCCCGCCTGCCTTATTACAGGCAGACTGTCTGTGTGCTTGACAGGGAAAGGCCTGGTGCTTCTCAGTGCTGGGGGAGATGGGGACAGGGACCTCATTGCAGAGCTGGGGTTGGGTAGGGTGCATTCCCAGGGTAGGGGGTCCCGTGCATCCACCAATTACCTGGCACCTGCTCCCACCCATCCTGGACATGGATGCACTTGCTCACGCCTACCAGACTCCTCTCAGATATTGGTCAAGGAACAATATATATGAAAACCTGACCTCAGTGCATTCTTATGCCAATCCCTACACACATACACGTGCGCGCGCACACACACACACATACCCCTCACATACAAATATCTGCTTACTTCCTGGACTGTGAATTCCCACACAGTAGGGACTATGCTTTCTCTTCTCTTCTGCACCCAGCCTTCGGTGTGATGCCTGATAGAACTTGGGTTCAGTACATGTCTGGCAAATGTGAGATGATAGAGAGAAAGCAGGAAATGCCCATCAGGGCCCTTCCCAACACTGGAGTTCTTTCACTTACTTGCTGATATATCCTTGAGCCTTAGTTTTCTCATCTGCAAAATGAAAATAACAGCATCCACCTGGGGTGATGTGATGAGAATTAGCCACTATTCTTAGCACGAATTGCTAGTAAGTGTTTTTATTGCCTTCTATTTACTTAGTAATGCATGGTCTGAGACTCAGAAGAATTGGCTCCCAGTATTTCCTGGCCAAGAGGCCTCAAAGATATCATTACCCTTCTCTGGGCCTCAGTTTCCTCATCGGTAACACAGAGGAGTTAAACAAAGTGATTTGTGCAGTCCTTTCCAGCCCTGACAGTTTGTGGTTCTAATTAAATCATTAGGTATCCATCAAACAGGTTCTGAGTCACCAGCCATGGCTCACATAATCCCAAATAGTGGCTAAAGCAAAGGTCAGTTTTATTTGACTTTCAAATGCTTTGCTTATTTTGTGTTAGATTTTACTTTCCACGCTGCATTTTGCTCCTGCAAATATTAAAGGTTATTTGCATCCCCTGCACATATCAATGACTGGGGACTCAGAAGGGGCACAGCAAGCCCTCTGTAGAATGCTCCCCACCCAGGCACGGTCCACCCCTGCAAGAGCTGGTGTCTAAATTTCATGGAGCTGATGGCGGCAAAGCCTGAGTGAATCTGGAAGGGGAACTTCCTCTTCCTGTTTACTACAGAAGGCTTTGTGGAAGAGGGGAAATTTCAGAATGAATTAAACTAGTGACGAGGTTTAGAACTAATTGGCAAAAGGACAGGATCTGGAACCTAACTCTCTGGGTTCGAGTCTTGTTGCTTCCACTTAACCACTCCAAGTCTCAATCCCTTCATCTGTCAAATGGGGCCAGTGATAACACCTACGTTAGGCTCATTGCAAGGGTAAAGTAAAATACAATATGCAAATATCACCTGGCTCTTAGCATTCAGTGCTGCTGCTGATTATGATTATAGTCAGAGGAACACTGTTTAGGGCTGGCCTGGTGTAGAAGCAGAGTGGGATTAGGATCGAGGTGCCCAGATACTGGGGAGACACACAGCATAACTAGGCAGTGGGGGAGGTAAGGAAGGAGAGATGGCTGATCACAAGAGGAGACCCTGACTTAGAGCTACAGAGCATGGGGGAAATGCTGATCCCATAGGAGGAGGGAAGACCAAGGAGAGATCAGGAGACCTCAGAGTTGAAAGCCCTGAGATCCATCATCTGGGCACTTTCCTTTTATCATATCTTCAAAGCAATGGTGTCAGATTTAGAGTGGTTTTAGCCTCTTTTCTTTTTTGGCTATGGAAACTAAAGCCAAATGGGTTCTACCTCTGGGCCAGGGTCGACCCTCTGGCTTCAATGGGACCAGAATTCTGCTCCCCAGCTCCTGGGACAGCCAGCCCCAAGACTCTATCACTGTTGCTTGGATGGATGCTGTTTGGTTAGCCTAAAATTACACCTCTCTGGAAGTTAGTTTTCTCTGTCTGACCTCCATGTGTTACACTAGGTGAATGTTAAACCCCCAGGGAGGAGAGACTTGTGAGGCCTGCAGTTCTTCTCTGCCAGCTTTGTCAGCAACTCAGGGGCTTGAGCAAGTGGACGAATGAGAATCTGCAGGCCTGCAAACTGGCCTCCTCTGGAGAAGCTGGCAGGTCTTGCCTATTTCAGATACTTCTCAGCGGGTGCCCTCGGCTCTTTTCCCCACCCTCAGCCTGGCAGGGAGTGGTAGAGGGGAGGGAGGATGAAATGTGTCTTTCTTTCTTCAAAGTTGGTAATGCAAGTGAGATCAATTCTTGTCTCCTGCGCAGGGGCCGCCCCACCTCCCTACCTTCCTCTCCCCATTTCCTGCCCTGGAAAATTCAGACCAAGGACCCCCTACCTCCACCCAACCCTCCCAACCTTCAACCCCACAAACCCCAGAGAAGGGAAGGAGAGCTTGGGCTTGCAGTCCAGCAATGAGGTTTCTAGATGAATCATTTGCCGTCCCTGGCTCTGCAAAGTGTGTGTAGGGAGGAATGGTATTGACCAGTTGCTCTCCATGTGTGTGAAAGAGTGAGCCAGTGGAACTGGGTTTAAATAAAAGACCAAATTATGTGTAGGTTTATAAATTTACTGTTAGATGATTAGATACAGGTTTGGCTACTGAGGTATATATGGACTTTTAACTCTAAACCTTCAAAAGGAGAATAGCATTTGGGTTTGGAAGAGCCATGGATCTTGTCTCTCTCAGCCTCTGTCATCTCATTTATACAAAATAAGGACACTTGCCCCATATATGTGATCCCAAATGAGATAATGTGTGTGCTGGCTTTCTGTCAACCACAAAGTAGGAACAAATGTCAATTTTCGTATTGCTAATAATGGCAGAAGTAATGGCTGTCTTCATGGGATAGTTTAGAAAGTCACTGGCCTGAAGACAGAGCACTAGACCAGGTCCCTTCCGGTTTTAGCATCACCCTTGGACTCCTCTGCCTTTGTTATCAGAGGAAACAAAGGAGTTGACATAGGAGTGAATTGAAGGAAAGGCTGTGATAGGCCTACTAATCTTCTAGGCGTGGCGATTGTTATTAGAAATGAGGTTGATAACCTAAACGCTGAAATGGCCAGGAAGTCAAGGACCCTCCTGCTATTGAGACAGCAGAGCATTGTACTGCTCCTCAGCCCCCTCCCTTCCTTCAGACTTCACAGTAGGGGCAGGAAGAGCTGCTGCCTTCGACACATGTTCTCAGGTGGCACCAGAAGCTTTCCCCACCCTTGACCCAGGGAGATTGAATTGTGATGTCTGCTCTGGCCCAGGGCACCTCTCCTTGCCCTGGCATTGTTTTCTTACACTAACAGCTGGGCACTGGTGACAGTCCTGGAGAGGTGTGTCTTGTCTCTCGTAGAGCACTTGGCCTATGGGGGTGCACGCTGCACTTTATCATGGAGCACCATCTTTGAATACTGACATTCCCCTTGCTGGTGCCTGAATTCTAGCTGTTCCTTCTATGCCCTCCTGCTCTGGGGCTGGGCCAATTCACAGTATAATTAATTAGAAACTAAGCACAAGCCCGAGATTACAGATTTTACATACAAATGGATACTGTCCCTCAAAGATCAGGTGTTTCATGACCACACACTTCTTTGTGTCCTGCTCTATGCAGGGCCCTGGAAGGGACACAGAAATATAGTCTCTGTCCTCAGAGATCTTATGGGAGAGTTAGTTAGGAAGGCAGCATTTAATCTTGTCTTTTGTAGCATTATCATTGAAGAAAAACATAATGACACAAGCAAATATATGTTAATAAGTAGCATTTATTAAATGTGTACTAGTTGTGTGTTTGTTAGGCACTTTAAATGCATTATTTCTTTTAGTCCTTGCAATTACTGTATAAAGCAGGTAGGCACTGTTACTAGCTCTATTTTATAGATGAGAAATCTGATATCCAAAAGGGTTAAACTTGCCAGTGATGTATGAGAAGGCTTGTTTCCCCACATCCTATTATCAAAGTGTGGGGTGAGACTTCTGGATTTTGAGCAATCTGATACATTTCAAGAGTGGTATTTTTTCATATGCTTACCAGTCATTTAAATTTCCTTTTCTGTGATCTCTCTTATCTATTCTAAAAATAGGAATATTGGTGTCTTTTATTATTTTTAGGAGCAGTTTTTGTCATAAATTACAAGTATTTTCCCATTTTGCCATTTGTCTTTTAACTTGCACATGTTGTGCCATGCAGAAGGGATTTTTATGGACCCAAATTTATTTTTATTTTATGACTTCTGGATCCTTAGTTAGTTAGAAAGGGCTTCTGGTATATATTTTAAAAATTAATTAAAATAATAAAATTGTGTTAAATGTGGGAGATTAGCCACAAACATCTATTTCTTCACTTTCCAGAAAACCCAATGAAATGATATAAAAACAATTTTTTAAAATATAGAAACCTAGAAGGACTAATTTGTTAAAACTTGGGAGAAGAGAAAGTAGCAGATAAGTAATTTTGAAAGACGGAAGGCAGACGGAGGAAAGGTAACTGATGTAGTAAAGTGGAAGAAGCTGCAGCACAGATGCAGAAGGGGCTAAAATGGAAAAGGAGCCTTTTTTCTTTTCTCTTGCAAAGCCCAAGAAAGCTCTGTCCTTAGAAGCACAAATCACCATGGGGTGAGAAGGAGGTAAACTGCAGCCTAAAATTCAGGGGGTTGGCTTAAAGTCCTTATATGGGATAGTAAGATTTCCAGCTCCACAGCTCTACCTCATGCAACCCAGTGACTGTAGAGATAATGCAAGGATCAAAAGAAAAATGCTTACATTAAAGACATAAAGTCCATATATCCATGAAACAAAACAGGATGCTATTTAAAAATTCAAAAGAAGCAAAGAGCTTTTGAGTTTTAAAAAATAAGATAGCAGAAAATTTAAAACATAATAAAAGTCTGGAAAATGCAGTCAAAGAAATCTTATAGAAGATAAAAAGACAAAGAATAAGGAAAAAGGGGAGGAGGAAGGTAATAAAATTAAAACATCAACTCTACATTTCAACTGATAGGAGTTCAAAGAAAAACAGAAAATGGAGGGGAGAAAAACTATCAAAGAAAATAATATAAGAACACTTTTCAGAGCTGAAGAACAAGAATCCTCAGATTGCAGGGCCACCAAGGGTCCAGCTCTTTGACCCACATTGAAGCACAGTGTTGTAAAATTCTGAAACTTTAAGAGGTTAAGAAAAAATCTTTAAATCTTCCAAAGTGATACAGTAAGTTACACTCAAAGGATTAGTAATCAGAATGACTATCTTAATGACAGTGCTGACTTATAGAAGCTAATAAACAAATACATTGAAAATTCTGATAGAAAAATGAATTTCAGCCAAGAGTTCCATGCCCCAAATTATTATTCAAGTGTGAAGATAAAAAATATTTTTTAAGAATGCAGGAATTCCAGTGGCTTTTGGGGCATGTTTTTTCCTGAAGAACGACTAGAGGATGTGCTCCAGCAAAATGAGGAGAAAACTAAGAAAAAGAAAATAAATAGCCATAGGTCAGCAGTGGAGGGAGATCCCAGGCCTGGAAAACAGCCAGATGATATTTGGGCAAGGGGACAGATGGCCCCAGAAACGATGTCTCTGGGGGAAAAAAATGGAACTACTGTTTTTAGAAACATGGAAAATATTTTTGGGGGCACATGATAGAGGTATTCAAATATGTGAAATAAATTCATGATGGGTTTATTGGGCAGCCAGGCAAATAAAAAAAAAGATGGAAGGAAGGAAGATTAACTTCAGGGAAAAGAAGGGGTTATATTAAAGAAAAAACAAAAAGAAGGCTTGTCCAAGCATTGCTAATAAATAACAGCCAAAATTCAAGGCCAAGGCTGTCTGATCCCAAGTTGGTATCTTAGAATCTTAGAAGAAAGCTCTGCTTCAGAGAAACTTCTTTGCGACCTTAGTAAGCCACTCTCCCTCTCTGGGCCTCAGTATTCTCACCTATATAGTGATTAGTCTACACAAAAAGTACAAACCAAGCCAGGCATGGTGGCTCAGACCTGCAATCCCAGTGCTTTGGGAGGCTGAAGTGAGAGGATTGCTCAAGGTTAGGAGTTCAAGACCAACCTGGGCAAAATAAAGAGACCCCTGTCTCCTACCAAAAAAATAAAAAGGGCCGGGTGTGGTGGCTCACGCCTGTAATCCCAGCACTTTGGGAGGCTGAGGCGGGCAGATCACAAGGTCAGGAGATCGAGACCATCCTGGCCAACACAGTGAAACCCCGTCTCTACTAAAAACACAAAAAATTAGCCAGGCGTGGTGGCGGGCGCCTGTAGTCCCAGCTACTTGGGAGGCTGAGGCAGGAGAGTGGCGTGAACCCGGGAGGTGGAGCTTGCAGTGAGCCGAGATCGCGCCACTGCACTCCAGCCTGGGCGACAGAGCGAAACTCCATCTCAAAAAATAAATAAATAAATAAATAAAAAGAAACTAAAAAGTACAAACAATAAATGAAAAGAGAAAAATTTGATCATTAAAGTGAAAAACTTTGAGACAACAAAAGACCATAAAAAATGATTAAAAGACAAGCCACGGACCAAGAAAGTGGTTAGCAAACTATAACCTGAGCCAACCCTGGCCTACCACCTACTTTTAAGTTCCATTGGAACACATCCATGACCATTTGTTTACATTTTGTCTGTTTTTGTGCTATCGTGGCAGAATTGAGCAGCCTGCAAAGCCAAAAATATTTACTATCTGGCCCTTTACAGAAGCAGCTTGCCAACTGCTGGATTAGGAAAAGATTTTTTTCCACAGATGTAAATAGCAACAAATTAAGACCTAAAATACATACAGAGAGATGACAAATCAATAAGAAAAAGACAAAGAGAATACAGGGTTAAGGTGGAAAGAAAGGCAGCAGATTGTGGTGCTGTTGAAACCCAGGCAGAGCAACTTTAAAGGAGTCAGAAGGTACTTGGACCCAGGTGTGCTCTATACCCCAGCCTTGGCCTCACACTCCTGGCTAGAGGGGCCCAGATGAGAGCATGAAGCTGGCTCGGACACTCCATACCTGCAGCAGGGAATGTGGTGGAAGCTTGTGAGTTGTGTCAGTAGGCAGTAATTATCTGCTCCCTATACCAAAGATAGCAGTGTTTCATTCCCTGCTCAGTGCTTCCATAAGCCTCTTAGTGTGTTTGTCATTCCTGGTGGCCTTGGAGCAGTATAATAATTGTTGCAACCATTACATATAAAGAGATGTCTTTTGAACACCATCTTGGGTGGCTCATCACTTCCTGACTTGCATGGTGGTTTGTCCCTTCCTCACTTGCCTGATTTTCAAGGGGCAGTAGCAGGACAGAGGATTCTTCCTGAGATAGGAGGGGGATCTGAGACCATCAGCTCCAGCTCTTGCTGTACCAGCCAATTTAATTTAATACCTGGGAGTTGCCACTGATGAGTGGCTGAGTCCTTGGCAGCTGGTCAGGAGGAAGGCAAAATAACCTTGGGTTTGTGGGCTCATACCTAGGTTCAAATTCCAGCCGGCCCTACCACTTAGTAGCCTCAAACACCTTGGTGCCTCAGCGTCCACATTCATAAAATAAATAATAGTAACCCAAGTGCCAGCTATACTCATCTGGTTAGGTTAACTTTTTATTATTCTTTACTCCAGGAAAAAGTCATGTGTAGAATGGGCTCCACTGGTGAAACATTTTTGAAATGTCATTGAAAATTGGAGATGGGGCAGGGTTGGGGGTGTGGAGCACAGGAAGGCACACAGGAACAGGTAGGTCCTGCCAGTGGTGGGCAGTGAAGCTCTTCAGCCACCTTCTGTCCAGCTTCTCTGGTTCCCTCTGTTCTTAGCTCATGCCAAGTGGCTGCGCTTGCTGCCTGGGGATCCACCTACCTAGGCCTGAGAGATTCCACTCCTGCTCCAAAGACGGCTTCTCAAAGCTCCTCCTCGGCAGAGTGGGGCTCTCTTGGCCATTCTTGTACTCATGCTACAAAGGTATTCCCCTGCCAGTCTTTCTCTGAACAGGTCTGTGTCCATGCTGTGCCCAGGTTTGACCAAATACAGCTCTTTTGGCCAGGCATAGGACTGTCCCTCCTGTTGAATCAGTGACACATGAGGGCCACATTCTCAGTAAAAGGAAGGCAAAACCTTCAATTCAGGGTGGGGAGAGGCAGGCACAGTATTTATTGAGCACTGGGGATGCCATGTGCTTTATGTACATTATGTCTCATTTAACCCACATGCCTACTCCACAGAGCCTATTGTTCTCTTTACAGTGGGTACCAGAATGGAGCAAAGAGAGACTCACTTGGGGAGCAGAAGGTCCAAAATACGGGGACAGAGAGTGTGAGGTAGAGACCCAGCTGGAGAAATACACTTTACTTGGGTCTGTTGCACAGTAGGCTGGGAGATGACAATGGTGAAAAGGAAAGAGAGTCTCATTTTCAAATAAAGGTAGGAAGTCCGTTCTCTACTCCTAGTATCAAAGAGGACGGGGCAGCTGCCCGTGGCCTCTGCAGGAGGATGCAGGCTGGATGGCAGGCAGGCGCTGCAGCCCTCAGGCTCTGGTGGCAGACCAGCCTGGGTTCAGCCTCTTACTCACTGTGTACAGTCTCGTTCCCAGCTTCCTCCTCTCCATAATGGGATTTGTAATAGTGGCTACCCATAGGGTTGTTGTGCAAGGTCATGGAAATAATGTATGTGAAGTGTTTAGAACAGAACCCAGTACACAGGAGAGCCCAGCATCTGGCAGCCACTATCATTATCAGGTGACGTGGGGCTCCCTCCCCTCCGTGATTCTGGTACATAAAGGCTCATTTCTTTGCCATTTTGATGGCTCTATGCCCTCTTCTCTGCCCTTTCTCTTGCTGTTTCTTATTTCATGTTACCTTCCTAGTGAAATCCTTTAGCTAGAGATCCTTCTTTCTCTTTTACCTTCTCTTCTTCTGGTTATGGTGTATCTATTCTTCTCTTAGGGCCTCTGTCCATCTCAAATGCCCTGTTCTCCTGGACTAGGAACCCACTTTGGCTTTCTCCAGACCCCTTGGCTCTTGGGGATTTCCCACGGGGTAAGCTGTGGGAGGTACCAGCCCATGGTGGTCAGAACAGATCTTGGTGGGGCCAGTCTGCAGTGTTTATGCTCCTTCTGCCTCCTCCCCAACCAAGAAAGCCAAGATTGGGCATATCTGCTTCAAGTCTGTGGGCTGGGTAGCTTATAGGTGTGGAATGGGAAAGCTAAACTGTCCAGATCCTTAACTGCTTTCAACCTTTAGGTCAACTGAAATACTTAAGGTTACTCCTGGAGTGAACATACCAGCCTTCCTGTTCTATATTGGATTCAGGACTAACTTTTGCCATTTGTGTATATTGACAGAAGGAGAGAAAAGCAATCCACAAACTGGCTATCCATATACCTACAATGATAGCATGTGAAAAAATATGTAGAAATGATACAATTGCTTGATATGCACCACAAGTCCCCTAATTTTGCATTATCTGCTTCCTGAAAATTAAAATGCCACTTTCCCAGATGCATTGATGTGGATTACCATACCAGGAACAAGGATTGCCGGGCATGTGTGGCTGATGGAAGCAGAGGAGGGGCCTTGGAAATATTGCCCTTGGCAAACTGCATGGCCATGCTCCACATAGGGACTGGGCTCCAGGAGTGAGGAGCCACTAGTCCCTGAGCCCTGGCCATGGGCCAGAAGGATACAACCTCCCCCACCCGCCATGGCAATGAGTGGCAATAACATGAGTGTACAGTCTGCCAGGGTCAGACTAAGGATTTTGTGTGAATGTGCAGTTTGAGAAACAAATTACTTGCCTTGCTGCCTTGAAAAGAGGAGGACCTCAGTGCATGATCTGGGATTGAAATCAATGCATCTCACATCTCCATTTGGCAAGAGCATCTTGCAGGCCTGCGAGAAAGATAGACGAAGACTCCTGAGGGAAAAGTTGAACTCTCAACCCCCAGGCCTGGAGCCCAGTCCCCCTGCAGGAGGCAGCACGGGGTCTGGGTTATCAGCAGTCACAGTTTAGCATAATCCTCAGGGGAGTTCAGTTCATGTCCTAGCACAAGCTCAGAGCCTGGTATAAGCAGGTATCCTGCCCATGTTTCTTGGGCCCAGCAGGAAGACCCTCTTAGCCCTCAGGTGCTCAGCTCTCTCCAGGGCTCTGATGACCTTCCCAAGCAAAGAAGCATGAATTTTTTCCCTTCCCAGGGCCCTTTAAGCTCTGGAACCTGTGGGTTCCCAGCCCTGGTGGCAAAGTTTGGATATCAGCAGACTTGGGTTCTGGTCACCCACTGACTGACTGAGTAAACCATCAGCAAAGGACCTCTCTAAATCTGAAATTCTTCAACTTTGAAAGAGGACTAATAATAGTTTCGACTTCACAGGCTTGTGGTTGAGAGTTGGAAGATAAGGTATGTAAAATGGTTAGCATCAGCCTGCTCAGGAGATGGCTGTGCATTACAGTTTCACCCAAGACCACAGTTGGGCAGGTGATGATTCATCAAAAGACAGTACTTCTAAGATAGACTTGGATAAAACTCTGCCCCCTTCCTTGCACAGGCCTCTATGCAGGCTGTTCTCTGAAAGCTTTAGGAACAGCAGATCCTCTGAATGAGAAAAATAGACTGAGTAGCAAGGAAGAAACATGCCCTCTCCCCAAGTCCTGGTAACCAAGGAAACCGAGAGAAATTCAAAGCCTTGATTACTGACAGTGGCAAGGGTGACATTAGCCAGTGCCCCCCATAAAATGAGGACTGAGTTACCAGGTGGGAGTTCAAGTGTCTTTCCTTCTCATGCTACTAGTTTCTTTGAGAGAAAGGTATCAGCTCCCACTATAGGTTTCAGTGGGAGCATCTACCCCCTTGCTAGGCTTGAACCGGAGCGCCCTCCTGCACACAATCACTCAGGACCCAGTCAGGAAAACAGAAACTGAAACTATACTAATTTTTTAAGAGAGGATTTAAATCATGGAGTTGGAGTTGAAAGGCTAAAAGAGCAAAAAGGGATGCTGAGGACACCCAGGGATTAATAATGGAAATAATGGAAATAAACAGCATTCTCTACCAGTGCTGGGAGCGCAAAAGGGCAGTATTACCAAAACCTAGGAGGCTGGAGGAGGGGCCCTAGCTTTGGTGAGTGGGTGCTCCATGCAGCCCTCTGAGAAGGGGGTGTTGCATATCTTGTGCCAGGACCTCTGAGGAAGAGGCACGTGTAGCTACTCCCCAGACTTCTGGGAAGAGAGCTTGGCTTGACCTGTGTCCCGGAGAATGGGGAGAGCTGTGGAGCTGCACCCTGACTGCCCAGGTACACAGCTGAGAACTGAAGAAGCTTGTGCAGGGAGTGACCAGAGAAACTGCTGGAGAGTGGGACTAAAGCTGACCACTGCTGCTGGAGCCATACTACAGGAGCTGAAAGCAGGGAGGAAGCCCCTTCTCTCCTCCTCCCGCCTGTCAGTCTGCCAGAGCTGCCACTGGCAGACCCTAACAGGAAACTAGCCGGCAAGGGAGTCTGGGTAACTGACTGGCCAGTGCCCAGCCAGCGGAGTGTGGAGGGTGGACTTGGTGCTAATTGGCAATACATAAAGAGCTGATGCACACATCCTGGGGCTCACTGTCTCACTTCATCCTCATATTTCTCTTGTAAAGCATATTATTTCCAAATTATAATAGACAAAGACAAAGAAGTTAATTGACTTGCCCAAGTCATGCAATCTGTCAGTCCCCAGATAGTCACTGAATGTTTGCTGTGTGACAAGCACCCTTCTAGTTTTGGGGTCACAAAAATGAACAAGGCAGGGTTTATTCTAGCAAGGAGACTTATCATTGAGGGAAGGAGGGACAATGGGAGTAGGGAGATAATTCAAACACATAAAAAGATAGATAGGTGAATATATTGATAGTCTCAGGTGCTAAAATTGAACACAGTGTAAATATACTAGGTGTTAATGAGAGGTAGGTTAGAAATGGTCCAGGTCCTAAGGGACTGAAGTCAGCACTATATACCAAGAACTCAAGTGAATGACCAGTTACCATTCTGAGTCACCATCACATCTGTAAACTGGGAATAATGCTCTCACAAGTGGAAAAATTCCTCATGAAAGCACATTCAACAGAGCATCTCCCAGAGCTGCTGTCATGACTAAGCTGGATAAAGTAAAGGACTTGAGTTGTTGGTGGCAGCTGCTTAGGAACTCTCCATTGCCCCCTCTCATTAGGAGAGTGGCGTCATGGCCTGGTGGCCCCATCCATGGCTAAGAATAGAGCAGTGCCAACTCCATAAATCAGTGTCAGCATTCTAAAGAGAGGTTGGATTGCTCTAGAACAGCCTCTGAACCACCATCCAGACTCCAAGGAGAAGCAAACACTATATGGGCGCTGCCCCCATCCCCCTTCCCTTTCTCATTCTCAGTTGGTCCTTCTGTAAAATACAGCTGTTTCCCAGATCAGCTCAGGCTGGGAAAGCTGTTGGATCATCAGCTTCTAAGAGGAAGCGTCTTAGCTTTCTTTAAATGTGGACCAACTATCTCATACATTGCTCTGTATTCAGTAGGCACTGCATAAAGAGTGTCTGAATGGCTGATCAGAGCTGTTTCCTTGTGTAATGAAGTTTTGGAGAGAACGTCACCTCTCCATAAAGAAAGGACCTGAGGCTTAAAACCCCAGTGAAAAATTTAGGTTTGGTCAAAGAATGGACGTACAAAGCTGTGAAGTCCTGTGAAATCCATCACAAAACAGAGGCTCTCCCCAGGGGGCCTGGGACTAGGGCCTGCCCAGCTCCAGGGGGATTCCCTGGGAATTTTGGACTGCAGACCCCTCACTGGCTGAGAGTTTCTTCCCCACCTAGGGGACAGGCTGTGGCTCTGCTCCCCACTGGGCATATGCCCTGCAGACAGAGGGCTCAGGCAGCATGGATGGGAATACTGCCTACTCCCACCACCCTTCAGCTGTTTTTGGCTTCAGATCCAGTGCCTCGGGCCTCTACCCAGGATAAGATACCTGTCAGTCAGTCACTAAGGGGAAAAAAAAGCAGGGGGAGTGAGGGCCGGGAGTAGCTGGTAAGAGGAGATAAGTGTGCAGCTGGTACACTGGCACCGAGAAGGGACATCTTGTTTGCTGAGCGTGTGTGTGTGTCCTCAAAACATGAGAATGAAATATGTCCTATGTGGCAGTCTTACCCTATTTCCCCTGTCTTTACCGGCATGGTCTTCATTCTAGGGGTTCTAGGCTTTCCCATTATGCACTGTCAGAGTGAAGGGGCAAAGACAGGAGTCCTGAGGGCTGCCCAGTGAGGCCACATGCTTCAAGGAGCTTTTAATGGAAGTAGGGAGAGGTTCAAAGATCCAGTCTGTAAGACTTTTCCTCCTTTGAGGGATCAGAGTAGAATCTCCTGGGAGTGGAGACATAAGCGGGCAAGCAGGCTCCTAAAACTGCCTCTGGAAGGGCTAAGGGAAGGCTTGTGGTTTGCACATGCTTCCATCTGGTTCCTAGGATGGGGGACAACATTAGGGGCCAAAGCCCTGTAGGAGTGAGTTAGTTAGCATGCGTCTCCCAGGGATACCCACAAGGCTGCAAATGCCCCTCAGGGACCTAGTGCAGGTGAGGCCACAGGTCGAAGTTGGTCTGTCAAAAGAAGATGGCCACCAGTATAGGTGGGGACCCTCATAAGAGTGAATAAGATGATGTAAGATGATGCCAGTCTTCATGGGATGGCACTGATGAGTCAGACAAGTCATTCTTGATTCAGGTTCAGATGAATGAGGTGCAGTTTGCAGCTCATATTTGTTTCTCCTTACATCATGAACTGGTGTGTATGTCTAGAAGTGGGCCATGTTGTGTTTTATCTGTCCACTCCTCTGCTTCCCTGGGCCATCCCCTCCATATCTGTGATTAGCTTTAGTCATAGTCTTCTACCTGGCCTCTCTTTGGTTGCTCCTCCCACCCACCCAAGTGGGGTTCTGATTCCTACCGGCCTGATTATCTACTTCACCTGCACTGAAGAAGAACTAGGTGGGAAGGGAGACTGCTCTGGCTAGGACAGTAGAGTTTGAGGGGTCTCTGAAACACTGATGTACCCATGCTTAGTGTGGGAATATTCAGGCTGGGACTAGAAAGAAAAGCAGCATTGGTTTATAAATGTGAAGGGAGGGGGGCTTCTCTCATGTTATTTCATTGCAACTCCACAGGAAGAGGAAGTAGGAACTTTGTACAGAAGACAACTAAGGCTTCGAAAGATCAAGTAATTTCCTCAGGGTCTGAAACCAGCACACGGCGGGTGTGGGCACTTGCATCCATTGTCTTGTTGGCTTCTATGCCGGCTTCAGCTGCATGAGGGTGAATACTGAAGCAGAAGGGAGAACAGCTGGTGGAGGCCTGAGCGCAAAGGGCAGGGCTGTGGACAGGGCCTCCGTTAGGGGAGGGAGACAGGAGGAAGTGGTGAAGCAGACCTTGTGCTCTAGTTTGAGGGCTGCCATACAAACGACCACAGACTTGGTGGCTTAAAACAAATTGCTTCTCTTTCACAGTTCTGGAGGCCAGAGGTCTGAAATAAAGTTGTCTACTGCCTTGGTTCCTTCTGGAGGTTTGGAGGAGGATCCATTCCAGGCCTGTCTTAGCTTCTGGTTGCTGTCGGCAATCCTTGGCATTCCTTGGCTTGTAGCTACGTAACTCCAGTATCTCCTCCGTCTTCCCCATGGCCTTTCTCTGTGTTCTGCATTTTTCCCTGTCTCTTGTAATGACATTCATCACTGGTCTAGAGCCCACTCTAATGCAGGATGATCTCATCTTGAGATCCTTACCTTGCTTACATCTGCAAAGAACCTTATTCCAAATAAGGCCACCTTCTGAAGTTCTGAGTGGATGTGTCTTTTGAGGGTCATAATTCAGTCCACTACACTGAGGGAGCACAAAACAAGGAGAAGGTGACAAATGTGGCCCCTAGTGAAATGCCGGAGGATAGCAACTCTTGCACAGCAGCGCCATCTCTTCCCTGAGTAGCAACCCAGGGGCACATCTCATTCTCTGGATGGCATTGAGAAGGAAGGATACTCATCTGTTTTGGGTTTGGACCTTCCTGAAGACAGAGGAACAGGAGCATCTCTGGGAGTCTTTCAGGCCCCAGGTTGGTCTGTCAAAAGTAGATATGTCCAATCCACCTACTGCCCATGCCCACCAGTCTAGGAGGGGCCTTATAAGAGTGAATAAGATGCCAGTTAATAAGATGATGGGATGTCACTGATGGGTCAGACAAGTCATTCTTGATTAACGCCAGAAGAAAGTGCAGATGCTGCATGGTGGTGGGAGGGGCCTGCCTGTTAGCAGTGTGCTGAGAGCCAGTGGACCAGGTCCCCTGAGAACAGAACAGCTCTAGCCTCTAGGGTTTTCCTGGATGAAGGCCACTGGGACATCTGTGCATTCCTACTCCTCCTAACTAGTGCTGGACCCAGAGGTCACAAGTGGCCAACAGGGTAACTGGTAACCTCAGCATCCTCCAGGGAGGCAGGATTTTCCAATAAGCCAAACAGTTGGGCTCATGTGTTGCTAGCCCTCTTTTTTACCTTAATCAATCAAAGTCTGGGTTTCACCCTAAGTCATTGGTCCATCCTGACAAGTTAAAAGACCACACAGCCGAATGCATCTAGAGAGGCATTCCCTCTTTAAATCCTCTGGGAATCTCGGTTTCTTGGCCTCTTGCCTTCCCTTAGCCAGATATTCTACTTCCTAGTGCTGCCCCTGAATTCTTTAGAGAAGTTGCCAATGGACACAAAGACACTAGTGGAGGTCATCAACATATACTGAGAGAAACTGTCCTTTGTCCTAAAACCCAAGGCATTTTCCCTAGAAGAATGGCTTCATACATGGTGTGGGCAGGGACTCAGGTTGCCCGGGTTTGGCTCACGGCTCCACAGCTTTGTCCTCTTGGGTAGTCACTTACTCTTTCTACACTCGGTTTCATTATTTGAAAAATGAGGATAATAATGTACCCACCTGCTGGGGTTTCATTAAGGATGGCACAGGTCCAACATTTAACACAGCGCCTGGCACATTAGAGCTCTCCATCAGTGTCAGCTCCTCTCACCAGGACTGCCCCACAAAGACATTGTTCTTCCCTGGCTGGCATTTCTGCCTTTGTGTCTTGGCGTGGGCTGTTCCCTGTTTGGAACACCCTCGCCCAAATCCTTCACCTTGTGTACCTAATTCTAGCTCATCCTTCTAGAATCATCTCAAGCCCCCACAAAGAGTAATACATAATACATTTACTGAGCAACTATTAAAGTCAAGCACTCTCCTTAAGGGCTTACTTACATTATCCAACTTAATCCTCATAACAGTTCTGTGAAAGCAGTTGTATTCTGTGCTGAAACTGAGGTTTGGGGAACACGATCCAAGTCCGCCTGACTTCCAAAGCGTGTGCACATGCCATCACCCCATGCTGACTCCACAGGCTCCTGCCCTCACCCTCCCACCCCAGGCCCACTTTAGCACTTTGTGCTTACACTGTGAGTTTACTGCTGTATCTCCCGAGCCTGGCATCTCCTGGAGGACAGTGCTGTGCTTTGCTCCCTCCAGCTTCAGGCCAGGGTGCCACACAGCCTTAGCCGAACAGGCCTAGGTCCCTCTGGGGCCCCCTCCCCTCCTCGAGGCTCAGGGCCTCCCATGTTCTGGGCTGTCATGTATTCATCATGATACCGAGGAGAAAATGTAGCATTTGATTCCATAGTAACAGAAGTGATCTTTCTGAGGGGGTTGAGAACTGGCCTTTTCCAAAAGTAAAACCCAACCAACTGCCTCATCCTATCTGCCCATCTGCAGTTTGTTTTTCAGTGTTTTAAGTTTCTTAAATGGCCCAGTTTGTTAATCTTCATGTTTTATGCTCTGCCATAAAACCAGGCAGGGTGACTGGTGGAGGAGGCTGGTGGGTGAGGAAACCACGAGGAAAGCTACGTCAAGTGAGCCTGTGGGGATATTATGGCCCTTCTGACGCTCGGCCACTCAAGGTGCCTGAGTCAGCACCAGCATGGACCCCAGCTCTGGGAGAAGAGGCCTGGCTCCTACTAGCAAGGAGCTATACAGTGTGTGCACCCTGCTGAGTGCTCTCAGACAGTGGTTGCTCAATAAATGTTTGCTTGGCTTTGTGTACCCCAACTCTAGACGGCTTTGTGTACCCCAACTCTAGACAGCTTTTTGTCAGATCTAAGAAAGAAAGAGTTAAAGGTGGTTGCAGGGCCTGCGCGTTTCCTCTTAGTCATCCTTCAGGGACCAGAGGCTGAGGGAGAGACTCACCAGGGTCATCCCCCACTCCAATCCCAGGCAGCACCTAGGAGGGCTGAGTCTGGCTGGAAGTGTGAGTACAGGCAGAGAGGTGCACAGGAAGCTGGTGTGTGTGGCCATGCTCATGTGTGAGCACAAGTCCATGCACAGGGGACAGCAGAGTAGCAGTGACCTCACCATCCATCCATCCAGGGGTTCTGAGAGCCTGGTCAGCAGACCTGGGTCAGGCTGCCCATGTCAGAATCACCTGGGAGTTTGCTGCAAATGCCAGTTTCTAGCCCTGCCACGGGAAATTCTCACTCACTAGAGAACCTCTTCAGTGGGTTCTGACGTGTAGCCAGATTTCAGAACCATTGATCTGATACAACCAAGGAAGGATATAACTTTCCCAAGGTCACACAGTGACTGGTCAGTGGCAGAGCTAGGACCACTCCAAGCCAGTGCTCTTTCTACTGCTGAGCATTTCAGACTGGGGACGTGTGTCTGAACCCAAGAGAAAATCATCTAAATCCTTTTTGATACATCCATAGATTTCAATGACTCACACCTCAGCCCCTGCTCATTTATGCAAACCACTGAGGACTGACATTACATATGTATTTTTATTCCACAATCTGAGTTCTTTTAAGTAAATGTGCTCCCACTTGGGTGCCCTCCCCACATCGTCTTGCTGTCAGGACACCAGCAAGTCCATTCCCCTCCTAGGCCTGCCTTTCCCCCATGCGTGCTGCTGAGACCCCAAGGGGACAACTCCTCAAACTCTAGCTAGGACCAGGCCAAGGGGAGAACAGGTTAGGCACGAGAAGAGCTGGGCCTTCTTTTAATGTAACCCAGAAGAGGTGGTCGACTATCCTGACTCACGTCAGATTCCAGGGGTATTGGTTTTTCAAACCAAGTTGAAAATAATTACTCAGAAATCCCTGTAGCTTAAGGATCTGAGTGTCAATTCCATTCAGCTCAACAACCATTTAAGTCTTCCCAGGCTCAGGGCTGTTGGCTTGGTGCGACCTCAGAGGGATGCCAAGTTGGATGAGCAAGGCACAGCAGCATCCCTGCCCTCCAGGTGTCCTCTGTCTCTAGGTTGCAATAAGTCATGAGCTTCTCAGCATTCTGAGCAACATGTCAGGCTAGAAAAATATATGCCCCTGTGGGCTGGCAGGACTCTAGCTGGATCCAGGAAGGATCTGGACTTATCCCATTACCAGTGCCTTGAACCCATGCCAGGAACAGAGTAGTTTTCTATCACCAGGGCTGGGCCTTTTGCAGTGGAACAACCTCTCCAGACAGACCCCAGCACCTCTCTGTTGGTGTGGTCCCTGACTAAGGATCTGTGATGTGAAAAAAGAAGGCAAGAGCCAATGAGCAGTTGTCCTCATTGCAAAAATGTTTATCTCAGGGGTACTTTTAAATGTCAGCTCTCTGAGCTCATGTAAGAGTTCAAAAAATAAAATCAGCCAGGAAGAGATGATGAAATCAGTATGAGGTCAGCCTGCAATGAGGATGAGTGAAAAATGGAAGTCCTTTAGGGTTTTATTTTCACACCATCCTTCAGGAGCCTATGTGTGGTGCATAGAGAAGTTACCTGTGATCTCTTTTTCTCTCTCCCCATTAAACCACAAACATTAGAAGCAGATTTTTGGAGGGAGGGCAATATGCATCACTTCTTTTGGCTTCACAAACAGGGGGATGGCTATAGCCACAAAGTTTGGATTGATCCTGGCCTGTCCACCAGGGGGTAATGCATCTGCAATGGAGTCCTCAAATCTCAAATTCCAGGGGTTCAGTGAATGAGTTAGAGACAAGAGGTCCCCTTCAGTTGGAACAGGAAACAACTGACCATCTGTTAGGGCTATACACAAATACAGAGAGCATCCTATACCCTACACATTGATATAATTTTAGTGTTTTCCAGACGGGGTTCTTTCATTCAAAAGAGTGGATCTGGGGGAACTGGCTTAAGAAATGCTGCATATAATGTCTTCCCCTTAGACATTCGTAAGGCACATTAGCATGTTAAGGCTCTGAGAAGTCCTGCAGTAAAGCAACCCATTTAACATTGCAGTGTGACTCAAACTTACCTAACCTTGGAACTTTTCCCCCTCATAGTACCTATTAGAGCATCATGGAATACTTTGGACACACTTGTTCCCTAGACCTCCATCCATCACCTGTCCAGTACAGGGAGCATCCTGAGTTAGGGAGTTGGGAGTCATGCCCATCGTTCCCAGGATACACTCTTGCCATGGGGAGCTGTGGAGCATCTCCAAGCAGACGGAGAGCTGCTGTGGCTGGTGCTGGTGGCACAGACCTCATTGTCATGAGTCATACAACCACTCCTGCCCACTTAGATCTAAAATACTTGGCAAAATGCGTGGTCATGGCTGCCTCTGAGACAGACTCCGTGACTAACTTCTCCAGAAAAGCAGTCGAAGTTAGTAAGCAGAGCCCTTGACTCCAGGTCAGCAAAGCTGTCAGACCACATCAGCTCTGTAAAAACTCCTTTTGCCTTGTCCCCTGGGGGTTGCTGGTTTTACCCCTCTGATTCTCAAAGGAAGAACCAGGCATTTCTGCAGGGTAGGAAGCTCGTCCCTGGCTCACCTGTCCATTGGTTGAGACAGTGATGTTCAGGGGGCTGCCTAGCACACAGGATGATGGAGGGCAGCCTAAGATGACACTTTGGAAAAAAAGCCTGCACAGATCCAGAGACCCATGGTTCCACCAACAGGCCCTGTCATTGAGTGTCTGAACTGCCCACGTCGACCACTCAGTCAGAACACCTGAATACGCTGGCTGGTTCAGTCCAGGATTCTGACCCATGGGGCCTCTGGGTGACAAGCACAATATAGCCACACCCTCAAAGAGGAACTCCCACTTCCCCTCCCAAATGTCCACCATGAATTATGTTAAGCCTTTGCTGTACAGCCTCTTGGGATCCGTTTTGCGTTGACTCCTCAATATCTGAAGAACTTCCTTTTCATAAGTCTTAGAACATCTCAAGTCTCAGAGGCTGCCCCTGACCTTTGATGTTGAGGGAGATGTGTGTCCAGGCCAAACCCTGCTTTTTATAACATTGACTATGACCTCTGTGATTTCTTCTTTCCAGGAAGAAGATATTCTCCCACGGATTCATTAGCCAATATTTATGTGTTCTACATTCCACAAATATTTACTGAGGGCCTGCTAGGTACCAGGCACTTCAAACAGCTGGAAATTGGGAACAAAATGGAAAATCATTGCTCTTTTAGGGCAAATAATAAGCAAAAATTTAAAAAGTAAAAAATACAGTGTGACCTCCAAAGTACTGTTCTAAACCCTCAGGGACCTTTTAGGGGGATAAGATATGTTTGTGTTCAGGAATTGTTGCTTACAAGGAATAGACTCACCCAAACTTGCTCAAGTGAAAAAGGGGGATAGTGTTAGGAATCAGATATCCTGCAGATATAAAGGGCAGGAAAAGAGCAATGAGCTCTAAAAGCCATCATCTCTCTTGGGTACATTCACATTCTCACCCATTTCTCTCCTTCCCCTTTTCTGCATTCCTTCCCTCCATTCCACCTTCCTTCCTATTCCCTTATTCTCTCCTCTCCTCTCTAAGAAGGCATGTGAGTAGGCAGAAGAAAGTTGGCCTCCCTACTACAAATAGATAAAAGATAGAGAGTAACTAGGACAGAAGAACAGTCTGACCATAGAAAGGGCCATTGGAGTTGGGAGGTAGGAGGATAACTTAGAGCACATTGGAATCAGGGAAGACTTTCTGGAAGAGGTGCATTTGCGCTGGGTCTTGGTGTGAACAGGATTTGGATGCTCAATGGAGAGCAGAGGCCATTCCCAGAACAGAGCACAGTGTGTACAGAGGCATCCAACTCAGAGCACAGAGTGAAAAGGGTCCCAATCACTCTACTTATCACTTTCCCATCCCCCATGAGGCCTTTAGTTGGGTTTCTCTGGCCCTCTTCAGGGTGGACAGGATTCTCCTGAGTCCCATTTCTTGGATCTGCAAGGCAGACTATAGGGGCAGTTGGGGTACAGCTAAGGAGGGGACCAGAGGAGGCAGGGATGGGAGAAATGCTGCCCAGTGGAGGTCAGAAAGCCACATACTGGAACCCAGGTAATAGCTGGAAGATTTAACCATCCATCCACCTGTGTAGTGACCTCAGTGTAAAGTCAGCCAGTGACAGAAACTTTAACCAAGAAGTTAGAGCATAGACGTGGGCCTCTAGTCTGCCAGCGATTTGCTGATGGATTCCTAGCATCAAGCAATTAACCGTTTATTTGGCTTCTCTGTGTTGGGCACTATAAAACAATCATCTTGTTGGTCATACCTGAGAACCTGCTGGTGATAGCATGGGGCAGGGCCTCTTGGAGGAGGTAGGGTGAGTTGCTTGTCATCTTCATCTGGGGGCTGTGAAAGGTCAAGGACAACAGGAGCCATTTAAGCATCTCCAGTGGGCCAGTGATTTCATATAAGTCATCTTGTATCAGCTTTATACCAAGTCTGAAAAGTAGAGATTTTCCTCACTTTTTAAGGAGGAAGCTGAGACTCAGAAGTTAAGATACCTCTGTGAGGTTCCACAGTCAAGTAATGGGGCTGGGACTTAAACTTAGTTCTTTCTGACCCCAAACCCCTGCTCCTGGCATGCCACCACGTGTGCCTCCCCAAGACTGGCGGTCCTGTGGCAAGTCCCTGGGACAGGTTTTGGGTGGGTCTAAGTGGCCTGCCCAGGGCACAGAGTTTTCCAGATTGGATGATGAGAAAGCTGCTGTTCTCCCTTACCGCAGGCCTCTCCTCTAATTCTACACAATCTCAATACCTCTAGTCCTCAAATCAGAAATTTACACTAAAAAGACAACCTATTGCAGGTTGCCTCTCACGAATTCAAACATGATATGGGTCAAAACACGTCCCAGAGTCTAACTGCCACATGCAATGTAAGCTAGAAATTTTGGGGCTTTCCCATAGTCAGATGCTGACCCAGGGGAAGGCCCTGTAAGCTGTGGCTTATGCTGCACTCAGGGCCAAATTCATGAGTCTGTTTTGCTGATGGTCCATCCTCTGCGTGAAGTATTGTCACCATTAGTCATTACCTGCTGGCCACCTAACGGATCTGGGGTTTGATACCTTGGGTACAAGTCCCTTCTAGGCAACTTACCTGTTATGTGATATTTAGCCACCCTGAGCTGTGGTTTACCTTATCTCTGAAATGGGGATAATAACAGTTGTTCCAGTGACCTTACAGTGCTGTCAAAAGGAATACATGAAGTAGCATTAAAGTGCCTTGTGACCTGCAAAGCACTGTCCAAGTGATGGGTATTATTGTTAGGACAAGTTTATGTTCAACTTTACAGATGTTAGTCTACTGTAAGCTCCCCAAGACAAGGACTTCCGTGTGAGAATGACTTTTACTTTTCACAGCCAACCACATTCACTTAGGGTCCAGATCTGTGGGTGGCATTGGAAACCTTAGCTGTAGCCTTGCCTGGGGACTTTCTTGCCCTGAAGTGTGGTTTTAGGCCAGAGATGCTCAAACTTTTGTGCAGAGATACTAATGGAGTAGGTCTGAAGTGGGGCCAGAAAAGTGATATTTGAAAGGCTCATCAGATGCTGCTGAATTGCAGACAAGGATGGATTTAAGGGAGGCCAGGCACAGAGGCTAGGACAGTCCCCTGGGAAGATGCTCTTTGGATTCTTCAGCCTCCTGGCATGTGGAGAGGGGAAAAAATGGGATGTGTTCCTCTTGAAGGGAATGACAAAGGGAGTCAATTCCCTGCTGTTGGAAAGCTGGGAGCCAGTGTCAAGAAAAGGAGGGTGATGTCAGTCATAGAGAAAAGCCTCATGAGGCCTTGTAGGCTGTGAGCCCCAGCCTCTTGGTGGCAGGTGGACTGGAAGCAGAGGGCCAAGATAGGCAGAAGGGCTGAGCTGGGCTGCTGCAGCCAGCATGTGGCTAACACGCCATGTCATTCTCTCTCTCTCTCTCTCCAGATTGTGTTCCGGAAGATCAGCGATGTGAAACGTGAAGAGGAAGAACGCATGAAACGAAAGAATGAGGCCCCCCTGATCTTGCCCCCGGACCACCCTGTCCGGCGCCTCTTCCAGAGATTCCGACAGCAGAAAGAGGCCAGGCTGGCAGCTGAGAGAGGGGGCCGGGACCTGGATGACCTAGATGTGGAGAAGGGCAATGTCCTTACAGAGCATGCCTCCGCCAACCACAGCCTCGTGAAGGCCAGCGTGGTCACCGTGCGTGAGAGTCCTGCCACGCCCGTATCCTTCCAGGCAGCCTCCACCTCCGGGGTGCCAGACCACGCAAAGCTACAGGCGCCAGGGTCCGAGTGCCTGGGCCCCAAGGGGGGCGGGGGCGATTGTGCCAAGCGCAAAAGCTGGGCCCGCTTCAAAGATGCTTGCGGGAAGAGTGAGGACTGGAACAAGGTGTCCAAGGCTGAGTCGATGGAGACACTTCCCGAGAGGACAAAAGCGTCAGGCGAGGCCACACTGAAGAAGACAGACTCGTGTGACAGTGGCATCACCAAGAGCGACTTGCGCCTGGACAACGTGGGTGAGGCCAGGAGTCCCCAGGATCGGAGTCCCATCCTGGCAGAGGTCAAGCATTCGTTCTACCCCATCCCTGAGCAGACGCTGCAGGCCACAGTCCTGGAGGTGAGGCACGAGCTGAAGGAGGACATCAAGGCCTTAAACGCCAAAATGACCAATATTGAGAAACAGCTCTCTGAGATACTCAGGATATTAACTTCCAGAAGATCCTCTCAGTCTCCTCAGGAGTTGTTTGAAATATCGAGGCCACAGTCCCCAGAATCAGAGAGAGACATTTTTGGAGCCAGCTGAGAGGTCTATTTAAAAAAAAAGTCAGAGACAGATACCTCCAACCCTGCCGTCACCACCACCCCTACCACATATGTCCACATGACCAACAATTTTCAAGTAGGCTTTTCCTAACAGAAAAAGTGGGGCCAGTGGCTTAGACGTGCTCTTTCTCTATCTGGAAAAAGATATGGGAAGGGTAGCGTGCCCCTACCCTGCAAGGTGGCAGCTGCATCTGAACCGTCTTTGCACAATTTTGGAAGAAGGGACATGCTGTCTAAAGGGTATTTTCCTTCATTTTTAATTTTTTACTACCATGATATTTGTAAAAGATTAAAACTACCAGAACAGAGCAGCAGCCATCTGGGGACTGGTGGGAAAGTGCCGAGAACCTCTCATGTATATACTATGCTGGGCTCCTTTGCCAAGACCCCCCATGGACTGCAGTGGGCCAAGGACTTCCCGGCATCCCCGTCCTTGTACAGCCCGTGTCTGACGTCACCATGTTTTCCTGTAGTTGTCATTTATAACTAGCTCGGGACAAGCAGAGCTTGAGGGACAGGAGGGTAGAGCTCAGAAACTTTCTGTCTCATGGTTAAGGCCAGAAAAGCAGCTGCAGGTGTGGTGCATGCCTCCCATAGACACTTGAAGCTGGGAATCCTCAGGTCTCCTTCCCCAAAGGAGGTGAGGCAAGGGTAAGAGCTGGAGAGGGGCCCTTAAGATCCAGGGGTTCTCTGCGGTGCAACCCATAGCCTGCTCCTCTGGGACAGTTGACAGGGAGGGCTCTGGAGTGCCTGGCTGAGCCTCTGGCCCTGCTCCATGCTGCTGGCCTCACACACAGGCTCCCTTGCTTCTGTTCCTTCTTGGCCTCTTCCCAAGTGTCCCCATGGCATTCCTCAGGGTATGGAGCATCGGCAGGAAGGGTCATGAGCCCAGAGTTGCTTTATTAACAAAGCAGACACACAGACACACACAACCTCAGAACTGTAGCAAGTGCTATGTTTATACTTTGATTCTCATTGGGATTGCCCTGCAGACCTTTGTATTTTGTTCACCGCACGGGGTCATTATAGGCACTTGGGAGCCATGCTGGGCCTTATTTTAAAGCCAGTCTCTCTATTTCCTATTAAAGTCAGTAGGATTTCAAGAGAAAATGGAAAAAGACTGCAGGATCATGATTGTACTCTCTTCAGGAGCTGGAAAGAGAATGAAGCAGTGAGTTTCCAGCTCTCTGTAAGGTGATGGAGAGAAGTGGCCTTGGAGCTGTGGCTCCCAGTGATGGTCACAGAACTGCGTATGGGCCATCCAAGCCCCTATGCCACGATGCTCGGGGACACTTCACTGCCTCATGGTCACCTAAGTCAGGTTATTCATGTGCTTGGGCTTCTCTCAATGGCATCTGAGAAAGGAAAGGAGTGAAGTCTCTTCCAGGCACAGTGGAGCTGGCCGGGGCATATGCCCTAGAGAGAGGTGTCAGGACCCCAAATACTGACACGCAAGGTTAGAAGTTCAGCTCTGAAAAGTCAACTTGGAGGGAATGGAATTAGGAGTACAGGTGACAGCATGGACTTATCCAGGGAGCTTACCTTTGCCTGTGTTAGACGGTGACCCCATTCCTGGTACCTCTGCCCTACCAAAGATATTCAGTGTTTCTGAGAGCCTCCGGTCTGAGACTGCCCACCACCCCACCCCACCCCACCTCCTTAGTCCTGCCCAGTGCTCACGGCGAGTCCCAGGGCTGGGCCCTCGGTTGTCTGTGCAAGGCAGGGCTGACCTCTCCTGGTTCGCAGGGTTGGCACAGATGGCCCTGGGAAGACAAGGCCTGCGAGCTCAAGGGAGAGTCCTGCTCCATGAGCCCTAACCTCATATGTAGCTTCTCACATCAGGCTTACAGGGGCTGCCCCTGGCTTCTCCAGGTTGCGACATAATTAGATTTAGCCTCAGATGGCGGCATACAAGTAAGAGGAAGTCTAATTTCCTAAGGCCGAGTCACAACTATCTGTGACTTTGAATAAAGCTGTGAGGCCTTCAGCCTCTTTCACTTGAGAAGCTGCCAACCAGTCCTTGGGTAAGAGGCCGTAAAATATCTGGAATCCCATCTGTTGGCTGCCCCCTAACATTCTAGTCTGCCATTTCTTAAACATGCTCCTCAACCTGCTTCTGAAGTTTAGGACCCACCACTTTTAAGGCAGGGCAGGCCTCTAATCACCCCCAAAACCCAGCCTCAGAAGAACCTGCCACTGGAGACACTTTTTTGCCTCTCAGCTCTCCAGGGACTTGATGACAGGCTTCTTGTCTGGCACCCAACGGTCAATGTCAAGAGGCCCTGCCATTTCCCTCCAGCTCTGCCTGAGGGAGACGGATGTCCGTGAAATTTCTCAGACCTCTGGGTATGAGGGGCAAAGATGGTATAAGGCTTTGAAGTCCAGACATGTTCTTGGGGGGAATGTAGCTTTAGGAATGCACTCGTGAATCAGCGCAAACTGGGCTCATGACTGGAAGCCAGCTCCTGCGGCAGGAATCTGTTCATCTTGGGTCACAGGTGCACGTGTGGGTGCATGGGCTTTATTCTCCTGTAATCCTCCCTAGGATTTGAGGGATTTTTTGCTGTAATTGTTTTCTTTGAAAAAACATTGTGTAAATGAGCCAAACCTTTCTCCCTTCCTTTTCGCACCATGAACTTGACCGCAGGCTGCTTTGTGCTGACTGCCTTCCCATGCCAGGATGCCACTCTGGGTTCCCGAGCCAGGACCATGTGCCTCAGATACCAGTGACCTGAGCCTTCCAGTATAAACCATTATCTGGTGGCTGGAGAGAGATTAGGGAAACAAAAAGTTACTAGGTATGGGACAGAACATTTAGACTTCAGAAAAAGTATGCCAAGAGAGAACAGATTTGCCCAGGATGTATGTTTTTCCTCTTTGAGGAGTCGGGGCATGATATGTGGCACCATTATCTAGTAAGTGCTGGTTATTTGATTTCTACTAAATTCTTTACTTTGAATGTCATTCATATTGAAGCTCCATTTCCCAGAGAATATCCTGACAGGCTGCTTTGAAGAGGGTAGGTCCTGTCCCTGTCACTTGGCTGCTGGTTGAACGTGCTCCTCCCGGCTGATGGAGGGGTGGGTTTAAGGTTAACTCTAAGAACTAAGATGGTCAATGAGGTGGTGTTTGTTCTTGGTGGGGGGGCATTGACTCCAGCAATGGGCGCTGCCATCCCATATACTTACAAAGGGCTCCTCCACTGGACATGACAAGATAGCCAAAGGACGGAAACAGAGACGACCATTTGGTTGAGAAACCAAATTGTCTAGTGTACAATTAATGCAACTCATTGCATTCATGAATGCAACTCATTGCATTAATGCAATGCTACATTATGCTAATAAGGTTACAACATTAATGCTACAGGATAGCCCAAGTATTTAAAAAGCTGAGCCCATTTAGCAGCCTTCCAGCAAACTTTTGGAAATGCATTTCTTACTTGATTTCTTCTTGTTATCCAATCCCTGGGGACTGTTTTACCCACAACCTCTTCGATCCAGTGTGCTGCTGTTGGCCAAACATCAGCCCCTTTCCTGGAATCCTCCTCTTTCAAAAGTGGGGAGGGCTGGGCAGGGGTAAAAATGTACTATACCACCCCATCCCATTCAGCAAGCTTCCTCTCCAAATCCTTAAATGGAAGGTAGAAGTATTATGCCAACTGTCAAGCTCTTTGTCCAGGCCCTTGTGGGGACTAAATGAACTCTTTAGGAATACTAGGTATAGGAAGACTAGGTATAGGAAGATTCTCATTTCCCCTTGTTGCACTGACCACTATGTCTCCCATGCATACTCTGGGAAATTTTAGGAGCCCTGGTGGAGATACACGTTGCTGATGTGCATTTGATTAATAGGTTTTACTATGTCTTGCAATAAAGACGTTTAGCCTTAAGACCCTTGAATGGAACTCCAGCTGTGATAGAGCTGCCAATGCCCCTTCCTCTCTCCTCCCTTATCACCTAGTGTTGCTTAAAGAGGAGGCCATTGAGGGCACACTTGATGCCCCAGACAGCCTCCCTCTGTTGCTAAATCATTGTTATTGCTCTATATACTGCCTTCTCACTCGCTTCAATTAAAAATTACCTTCACCAGCTCCTGTGCCCTCCACCTGGGGGAGACTTCATGATCCTCTCAGCACTGACTGCAAACATCAGAGAAAAAAACATTTTCTCACCAAAGGTGTTCATGTTGAGAAGTTTTAATTTCTACCCCCTACAGCTCAAAAGAATCAATGTGAATTTATCTGCAGCTTAAATTCAAGTGAAACTTCATTCTCATGCAAGCATATCAGACTTATTCTGGAACCTCTAGAACTGGACTTGAATTCCCTGCAGGTGCCAGACTGGTGGGTGCCCTCCCTGCCTGCCATTAAACTTTTCTTACAGCCACTGTCCCTTTATCTGTGACTTCTGAGTCATCCGACGGATCCATTAGTTGTTCAATGAGAAGTTCACAGATCTTGTATCAGGATATAAACTGATCTTATGTTGAAGGATGCACCCTCCCCTAATGAATGTATTCTCTTAATATTCCGATGCTGTATTTGTGCATCAGTTGGAGACTGTCCACATCCGACATTTCACCGACACCTCAAGGACACTTCTACTTATGAGCAGTTCATCATTCTGGGGCTTCTCCTTATATTAATACTCTTTCCATTGAGTCCTGCCAAATCCTTTATTGGGTTTTCTTTTTCCTTTGCATCTGTCACTTTGTCCAAATGAGCATGAATAAACAAAAGTGTAAATGAGCTGATACTATTTTTGTGGTCAGCTGAGGATGCTGCCAAGAACACCACTGTATATCTGTGGCTTGGGAATGTTAAGAGGAACGTGCAGGCCCTTCCATTGATGATATTCCCTTCTCAACATTTTTAAACAAGCACAAATGATATTTGTAAAAAAAAAAAGTTTTATTTATTATGGTAATAAACTATTTTATACATGATACTTGCTTTTGCCTTTCCTTACATTACTTTTAGGTCACTGAATTGGCTGTTCTGACCTAAGATGACAGAACAAGGATGGTATTTTCTCTTCAAGAGTTTGGGAAGCTCTTATTTGGACAGCACTTATAGTTTTTTGAGAACTTAAAGTCCAAGATTCACCAAGATTGTGTGTCAAAGTACCAAATAGTGAGAGAATGGACATGAAGGTATGCAGCTGTACAATCTTAAAGTACAGCTGCAGCTGCTGTACAAGGGCACAGATGTTGACTTCAGTGCCTGGGATCACGGAAAACTGTATGACACACGGATCTGAGATACCCAAAGCTGACACCTCCCACCCCACTTAGATGTACACTTTTTTATTTTGAAAACTTTGGATTGAAATTTGTATAAAATATATTAATGCTTCCCTCCTGCCTTTTAAAACGTAGTATGAAGAATATAACAATCTTTTTTGAATGACTCAGTGTCTACAATATGAGCTCTGATCTGTGCTTTACACTTCATTGATAGTCTCAGAAGCTATTAAGTTAGCTTGCCTCTAATCGAAATAGTCCCATACACCAGCATGGTTTCAGTTTTGCTATTTTAATCGGTGTTGCTTCCTGCTCATGGCAAGGCTCCACAATACTGCCAACCTGAGTCCTTATTTACCATCCAGTGGACCACATTACAAACATGGCACTTCTCTTATTATAGACAGTATAACTTAATTAGGAGATGAGGAATCTGACCTACAAGCGTCTACTTGATCTTATAGGATCACAGTAGGGGTACAGTATTTTTAATGTTTCCTTACCCATGATTTAATCAAATTGCACAAAAGCATTATAAAAATAATAAGGGTGATATTGTTTAAAATTCCAAATTATTGATGTTTCAAAATTATCACTAATAACTTATTATTCTTTTTTTTTTTTTTCTTGAGACAGGGTCTCACTCTGTTGCCCAGGCTGGTCTCAAACTCCTGACCTCAAGTGATCCATCTGCCTCAGCCTCCCAAAAGTGCTGGGATTACAGGTGTGAGCCACCACACACAACCTAAAGCATTCTGTCTGATCTCTTCAATGTTGCAAAACATCTCTGTGAATATGATTCTTGTAATTAGTCAAAAGGACGAGTAATATAGAGCTAAGTAATGAATGCCATGTTTTGGGTGCCAAATGGAGTTCAATGATTTTAAAAAGAGGGTTTTTTGTTTTAAAATAAAACCATTTCCCTGAGAAAGCCTCAGAGAGGCTTTCTCAAAATGTGCTGAGGCCAGTAGTATCATACTTTGGCTTCTCATGTTGTCCACACTGAAGGGAACCCTATTGTATGGATATATTCTGATACATCTGCTAAAAACCAAACTCATTATATTACGGTTAATTTACTATGTTTAGTCAATGGTTATATTATTATTCTAAATAAGCAAGTGAGCAGTCTCACTTTCTGTCAGGAGAAGCCACCCCCTCCCCTACCTAAACTGCTATTCTCCCAGTATATAGATTATAATACAATTATTTGTTCATTGATTTATTTTTTCTTGAGGCCTGCTGTCTTTAATGAAACAAAATGTTTTCTGCTGACACTTCAAATTAATTTGAAAAAATAATACCTTTCAGTCTTCTTGTGTGGTCCCAAGAATTAGAATGACTGAGGTTTGGGTGTCCTTCAGGTATCTTGCTTCCCTCCTTGGGTAGCATCTTGGCGATTGTGCTTGGAGCTCTTGGGCTTGCCTGCAGAGCGAGGCTGGGATCAGAGGATCCAGGCGCTGGAATTGACCTTGGGACCTTGTCTATTCTTTTCCCAACACTGCGCCTGAAGTTGCCCAGGGCTGATGACATGTCCAGTGTCATTGCCTGAACTCCTCTGTGCGCCCAGGCACCACCATTCAGAGTAACTACAAGATTTTAGTGAATATGCATGAGGAGAGAAGCATTATCATTTTCATATTACAAGTGGGGAGTAGGAAGAGGTTAAGCAAAACAATGGTCCTGGATAATCCACATATTAATTAATCAGCCTCAAATACAGAGCTAAACACAGTAATCATTTATTAATTCCTGAGAACCATTATGAATCATATAATAGTTTAAAAGAGATTCAGGATTACCACTTTCAAATATATCCACTGACGCTTCCAAAGTAGTTTAATGAATGAATAAACCTATTTGTTTGTATATAAATGGTATACTTGGAAGAGCTCAAAACTTTTGTATTACTTATATGTGCACATACATTAGACACTTCCCTATCATCATTTTTACTCCCTTTTTTCTTAGCAAGCCCTTTCTTTCCAAGTAAACTTCAGTCAGACTCCCTCTGGCTGCCCACAAATCCTCAATCACTGTTGGTCCATGAAGGTTTACTGCGTTCATTTAGGTGCTCACTCCTCCCTGAGGCTCATCCCCTCCTAAAACTTCTGAGCACCCCGGAATTACTGGCCCCATGTCTCTCTCTCTCCTTTACCAAGACAGCTGCTGAGGCTGCTGCTATGCAGGTCTACCTGCCCCTCTCTGGCCTCTGTCTTGCTTTAACACATAATGTGCCTACCCCAGGTAGTCAGTATCTGGCCCCCTCCCATCTCTTTGCCAAGCAGAGAAGCTATGAAGAAAGACAATCAACAAAATGGTCCTGTACTCTAGGAGCTAAAGCCTCATTGAGATGATAACCTCAACTCAAGACATAAGGGCCATGCTATGTAATAAACAGGAGGCAGCACTAGGTCCAAGTGAACCTTTCACTCAATGACAACTTAATTTACGTACTTGAGATGTTGTAAATTCTCCTGTAATTAGATATATTATGGATTCAAATTTTAAGCCTCCTTTATACCCTTCCCCACTCCAAAAAAAAAAAAAATCCAAATTCAAACAAGTCTTCTGAATTATCTACCACTTGGGAACTTTGGTAGCCTATCCAGCATCTTTTCAGAGGAGTGAATAATCAAGTTATGTGAGTATATTTAGATTTTAAACATTTTCCTCAAACATATTCAAAATAATTCTACAAACATGTAGATTATCTACAGGACAGAAAAGGCTCTGTTTGAATCAAACCTTAATAATATAAACCACTAAACGTGAATCACTGAGTAGGAGGATGACTTTTGAGACTTGTATGGAGAGGGTGGACAAGACTCCAGGACACCATCCTCATGACTGGCCTTGATAACACCCATCTGTGGGTACACTATCCTGTGGTTTCTAAATTCTGCTTCTTTATTAAGAAACGATTAACTGTAAGGTAGAGGAACTACCATGTTATACTTCTCTGCAAATCTCAGAAACAAGCACCCAAATGTAGATCACCCTGCTGAAGCTCAGATCACAGGACTCCTTGGGTATAGATGCCTTAGAATGCTACAGGGCTGCTACCGTCTTCTTCGACTACGTAATTCAAAAGACAGCTGTGGCTTGGTCTCATTCCTACAGAGGGGCTGAAGCATGAAACTCAAACCCTAGTGCTGCTTCTGGAGATACTGCAGGATGTGATGAAGGAGGTCACTTAAACATCAATGTCACTCAAATATTTTAGAAATATTGCCCAGAAGACAGGCCTATCACTAATCAGGATTTCTGTGTCTCAATCAATAAATTTCCACTACATTCTATTCTTGCTTAAGGGGAAAGAATGCAAAGGGCTCATGAGACTAGGTTCTAGACCAAAATGTCACCCTGTGTAGCTGGGTAAGACACACGACTGCCCTGGACCCGTTTCCTCAATAGGAAAATGATGAGTTGGGGTAGAAGATCTCAAAGACTCCAGATTAGAAGATTGTCTGGCTGTGAATTTTCTATGAGATCCAGCATCCAGTCTTGGAGTGAGGGCATTCAACTGAAGATGAGCAGATCAAATCCCTTAGAGGCTGTCCTGGAGTGAGAGGTCAGGGTGAAGCACTATTTGCCTTGGAGGCCAGCAACAAGGACTGGCCTGGGCCCAACAGCATTAGTCCGTGGCGTAGGTCTGGGCCCAGGCAATGCCCACGTGGGAGTAGCAGTACAGGAATCCCAGGACAGAGAGGGTCACCCAAGGCCAGCCTGCAGAGGGAGGACAGAGATGGAAGAGCAGTTAGAAATGCTTGGGGCAGGACATCCCACATGGGCAAACTGTCCCCTTTTGGAGAAGGCAACCTGACAAACAACAAAGGCCTCCAGGAAAGTCTGCTGTAATGACAACTTCAGCAATTGAGTCCTACATTCCCATCAGAGTCAGCATAAAATGAGGAGTGCACTATTGCAAACACAAACCATGTTTATGACGAGTTAGTGGGTGCAGCGCACCAGCATGGCACATGTATACATATGTAACTAACCTGCACAATGTGCACATGTACCCTAAAACTTAAAGTATAATAAAAAAAAAAAAAAGAAATAGGGCAAGCTTTTAACGAATCCATGTTTAGAGCCAGGCACCTGTAATCCCGGCACTTTGGAAGGCTGAGGTGGGAGGATCACTTGAGTCCAAGAGTTGGAGACCAGCCTGGGAAACATAGTGAAACCTCATCTCTACCATAAATAAATAAATAAATAAATAAATAAATAAATAAATAAATAAATAAATAATAAATAAGCCAGGCATGGTGGCATGTTTCTGTAGTCCTAGCTACTTGAGAGGCCAAGGAGGAAGGATCACTTGAGATCAGGAGTTAGAGGTTACAGTGAGCTATGAGTGTGCCACTGCACTCCAGCTTGGGCCACAGAGTTAGACCCAGTATTGGTTTAAAAAAAAAAAAAAAAGAAGAATCCACGTTTAGAGGACTAAAGCAGTTAGTAATTGAAAAAGGAAAAAAGTCCATGAGTCTGAGTGTAGTCTCATGTGGCACTGTAAACATGTAGGTCATGTTCCAAAATCTGTACTTTTAGATGAGTTGTTTGAAATCAGGGTACGTTTCCCCCTAGAATAATATTGTGTGATTCATGGACAAGACACAAAAATCACCGTCATCATCACCGTTGTGTGTTTTTTTTTTTAAACTTGTAGTAAATGTGAAATAACACTAATAGGAGCTCTGAGCCCTGGGGCACTTAGGTTCCAGAAGCCCAAATATAGGGTCCTCTGTCCTTCTTGGTCAGCCTCCCCAGAGGTTTCAAGAATTCTAAGTGGTGAGGGGTGGGATAGAGACATGCAGACGTGGCTTGTCCTTGGCAATGAGACAGGAAGGCGCCAGCAGCCAAGAGGGAAAGGGTGCCGGGCAAGATCAGGAGGGTCATTTGATTGGGGCATCACAACATTTCACAGAGAGCTTTATAAATTTAAATTTTTGACATTTCTTTTGAATATGGCTAGCTAGGAAGTCATTACCTTTGTCAATCCAATTGTGTGTGTTAAAAGAAACGAACGACTGTGAAATGTAGGCATTTACAATGAACTACATTTTTTTCTTAAAGTCCATGAGTCCCATAGTAAATCTCAAAATGTAGATTAAGCATTATACTGAATTTAGTGCCATTTGTAAGCACACAGAAGGGGGAGCCTAAATTAAATATTTGCTTTCAAAACTGAAAGCTTTTAGTGATTCCCTCTACAAATACTTGTCTTAGAATATCTGATGTTCTTTTCTTTTTCTTCTTTTTTTAAAATTAACAGCCCTTTCTGCTGAGTATTTGTTACTTAACAATCTTCATGTCTTCTGCATGTTTCACTTACTCAAACATTTACTGGGGGCTTTGGAGAGCCAGAGATGCTGGGGAAGATACAAGATGCCGAAAGGGAAAGACACAGTCCCATGTCAAAGGCACTCCCACTCCAACTTGGGAAAGACACACACATACACCAGTGGGATTTATGATCATGTGGTAAGCACTAGATGATGGAATGCACAGAGCACATTTAAACTGGGCCACGTGGGCTGAGCAAGAGTTTGTCAGATGGGAAGGGACAGGGCCCAGCTACTAGAGGAAGACCACCTTATAGGCCATCCAAGGAACGGGGATCATGTGACGTGGCTGCTGCATAGGGAGGAGGCAGGCAGACAGACAGTGGTAGGAATAGGAAGGAGGCTGCGGGAAGCCCCTGGGGGTGATTACAGGTTCTCTTCTTGTTATGTCAACCATTAGCTGTCATGATTATTAATATGGCATGGGGAAGTCACTGTAGCATAGTGGTATATGTGCAGGCTCTTAAATGGGATGAGTTCAAATTCTGGCTCTGCCACTTGCCAGCTGTGGAACCTCGAGCAAGTTAATGAATCTCAAATGAAAAACTAGGGATACAGCAACTTACTGAATAGTGTCCTTATAAGGATGGAGTGAAATGATGTAAAGACTTGCACAGTGCCTGGCATAGCATGGGAACTAAAAAAAGGTAGTAATAGTAACGGTGGGAGGGCACAGAAGTCTTTCTCTACCAAGATTAGAGTGACAACAGGGAAGTCAAGCCCTGGTCTTCCTTGCGCCTTAGCCTGGCTTTCCACAGTGTTCTCCCAGGCCCTGCAGGCAAGAGAGGTGAGGGCAGCAGACGACCCCTGGCAGCCTGGCTCCAGGACCAGCCCCACAGCTCCACCTCCTGCTAGGCAGCCAGTATGTGTCCTGTGGCTACCATAACAACTTACCAAACTTAGTAGATTAAAACAATAGACATGTATTCTTAGTTCTGGAGGCCAGAAGTCTGAAATCAAGGTGTTGGCAGGAACTCTTCCTTACCTCTTCCAGCTTCTGGTGGCTCCTAGGATCCCTTGGCTTATGGCAGCATCACTGCCTCCATTTTCACAGAGCCTTCTTCCCTCTGTCCTCTCAAGGGCACCAATCATTGGATTTAAAGGCTACTCCAAATCCAGGAGGATTTCCTCTCAAGATGCCTGACAAGTTATATCCATAAAGAACCTATTCCCAAATGAAGTCACATTCTGAGGTGCCAGGTACACATGAATTTGCAGGGGAACACTAGCTCAATACAGCCAGGTACTTTCCCAGAACTTCCACATGGACCCATCCTGCTGGAAGCCCTCAGAGTTCTCATTACTGTGGCTCAGGCACAGATGCCAGGGGACCGGCCAACACCTGCTCCTCAGTGGGTTCAGGGAGCAGGATGAGGGGAGCGGGCTTTGGACACAGAAAGCACTCCTGGACTCCAGCTGTGTTTGGAGTGAGGCATCAGCAGTGTTTGGTAAACATGGAGCCCAGAGGCCAGCTGTGAAGATGGGCCAATGGGGATGTTTCATTTACACAATGCTAGGCCTGGGGCATTGCACAGCTCTGCTTGGCACCCGTGGCTATCAAGTGACACCCTGTGAAAGCTTCCGCGTAACACACAGGGCTGTAAGGAAGACTGTCCCCAAGACTGCCCAGAGGTGAGGCATAGACATGTTTAGCACGGGCCATAGCTAGGTTGTGAAAATTCTCCCCATTCTTACTGTATATGCCATCCAGAGAGGTGGCTAGATAGCACTTAGGAGACTTATAATCCTGACTGTGCTATGAGACCCTACTAGGGCCTCAGTTTCCCCATCTACACAATGACAGCTCAGAGTAATTTTTTAAAAGCATGCAAATAAAATAAGATCACAGATTTGGTAGTGCTTTCACAAAGTGTTTTAGAAATACAAAAGATTAATATAGGACCACTTGATAATTGTTACATGCCCACAGCTCACTGGACTTTTTAAAGCACACACCTTCCTACAGACAGTAGACGTGGCATGTACCAGACAGCTGTCAAGGGCTCCTTATCCTTTCCTAACCTCAGGAGTAAGATTTGTGATGACAGAATCATCATGAATGGTGATTCCAAATGAAGTCACATGCTGAGGTACCAGGTCCACGTGAATTCCGGGAGGAATACTATTTATCCCAATGCAGTTAGGTACTGTCCCTGAGCTTCCAGATGGACCCATCCTCCCTGGAGGCCTTCAGAGCTCCCATCACTGTGGCTCAGACACACAGGCAAGGGGACCGGTCAACACCACACCTCTTCCAGAAGAGACAGATTCTACATGTCACCCTTCAGCACTACTCAGCCAACTACTTCACAAGCCCTTGCTATATGCCTGGCCCTGTCCTAGGCATTGACTCTCTCTTGTTGGTGGCCTGTAGACACAAGGTCTCTGACTGTGGGCCTGCTAAGCAAGCACTGATGTGGCCCAGGGGGGCAGGGGTAGGCTTGGGGCAGAGCCTCATCTTCATCAGCAGCTCAAATAACAGTGGAATGGTAAGGCTGGAAAGCAAAGGGGAGAAGCTGTCATTCTGGCAACATTCCAAGGGCTGCTATGGTACACAGTCATGCAGGCTTGTTGGTCACTAACAAAAAAAGTTGGTGTCAAAAAGGGTTCTGCCCTGACAAACTCTGACTTCCTCCCCCTGCAGTCCACTGTCCCCCACCCATGCACCCCTCCCCACTGGGTATTCTCCTTCCAGGCTTTCCCTTCTCCACCAGGAGTGAGACTCCCAACCCCCATTCCTTTTATGCCAACCCCATTCTTCCCACAAGGCATCCTCCCAACATACATACTCTCACATTCTCTGTCTCTGTCTCTCTCCCCATTAATGTGGCTCATACTGCCTGGTGGGCAGTATGCTATTGGTCAAAGGAAAATATCCTTCTTAAGAGTGTACTTTAGGGCTGAAGCCCCCTACACACTCTGCACATTCAAGGCTGGGTCCCCAGAATCAATATGTGTAATTTCCTGCAGGGCTTTTGATATCTGGATCTAACAAGATCTAAACAGGTGATCAGTTTTTAACAGATCACAGCCAGGTAGCGTCAAAGATATATGAACAGGTTCCCAGAAAGTCAGACAACAGTTGCAAGAGATTGGATAATATAATTAATAGGACAGATTATTTGACAGATATAGCTAATTGCAGATAACTAGGATGTATGGCACAATAGATTCAATTAAGAGGACCAATGTAGGTGGCATAATAGGTAGAGTTAATAGGATGTAGGTGGTTGTATCATGACATTGTTAATAGGATATCAGTGAGCTGTATAATAACTACAGCTAATGAGAAACAGGTAGGACACAGAGGGAAATGGCTGAAGCGAAGAGAAGGTCAGCATTAAATTGTAATAACCAAGTAATAACTTGGTTAATTAACTAAGTAATAACTTTACTTGGCGTTATTATGGCTGACCAATTCTCTGAGCAATTATATCAGTCTGAAAGGAATGGAAAGCCTGCGGTTTGATACTGACGGAAAAGAGCATCAGCACACAGGGCCATGTGAAGTCAAAGGGTATGTTTTCTGAAAAGAGAAAGGATAATCAGAACAAGAAGCAGGTCCAGTGAAAAACCTTCTTTAAAAGGTAATGTGTGGCCAGGCGCGGTGGCTCACACCTGTAATCCCAGCACTTTGGGAAGCCGAGGCGGGTGGATCACGAGGTCAGGCATTTGAAACCAGCCTGGTCAACATAGTGAAACCCCTTCTCTACTAAAAATACAAAAAATTAGCGGGGTGTGGTGGCAGGTGCCTGTAATCCCAGCTACTGGGGACGCTGAGACAGGAGAATCACTTGAACCTGGGAGGAGGAGGTTGCAGTGAGCTGAGATTGCACCACTGCACTCCAGCCTGGGTGACAGTGCGAGACTCCGTCTCAGAAAAATAAAAAAAATAAATAAATAAAAGGTAATATGAAATGGTACAGCCACTGTGGAAAACAGTATGGAGGCACCTCCAAAAATTAAACCTGGAATTACCACATACATATCTGTATTAGTCCATTCTCACACTGCTAATAAAGACATATGCAAGACTGGGTAATTTATAAAGAAAAAGAGGTTTAATGGATTCACAGTTCCACATGGCTGGGGAGGCCTCACAATCATGGTAGAAGGCGAAGGAGGAGCAAAGGCATATCTTACATGGTGGCAGGCAAGAGAGCATGTGCGGGGGAACTGCCCTTTATAAAACCATCAGTTCTCATGAGACTTACTCACTATTCCTGAGAACAGCACAGGAAAACCCACCCCCATGATTCAACTACCTCCCACCGGGTCCTTCCCATGACCATGGGGATTGAGGAGCTATAATTCAAAATGAGATTTGGGTGGGGACACAGCCAAACCACACCAATATCCAAAGGAAATGAAGCAGGAACTAGAAGAGGTATTTGTATGCCATGTTCATAGAATAATTCACAACGGCCAAAAGGTGGAAGCAACCCAAGTATCCATCAACAAATGAATGGATAAGCAGAACATGGTGTAAAAATACAAGAGATTATTTAGCCTTTAAAAGGAAGGAATTCTGACACATGCTACAACATGGATGAACCCTAAAGACATCATATTAAGTAAAATAAGCCGGACACAAAAGAATACTATATGGTTCAATTTCTATGAAATATGTAGAGTAATCAAATTCACAGACACACAAAGTAGAATGATGGCTGCCAGGGGCTCAAGGGAGAGGGGAAATGAGAAGGCAGTGTTTAATGGGTATAAAGTTTCAGTTTTGCAAGACGAAAAAAACTCGAGACGGATGGTGATGACTGCATAACAATATGAATGTACTTAATGCCACCTAAAAATGGTTAAAATGGTAAATTTTATGTTTTGTGTAATTTACCATGACAACAAAACTATGCTGAGTGAAGAAGCCCTTGGCAAAATAATACAGTATATATTATTTATATAAAATGTATACTTACAGTTACAAAAAGCATATCGGGGGTTGCCTGGGGCTGGGCGGCGACAGGTTGTGCAGGGGCCCTAGGAATCTTTTGGGATGATGATGTTTTATATCTTGATTGTGAGACTGATTTCAAGGGTGTATAAAACTGGCAAAATTCAGCCAATTGTATACCTTGAATGATGCATTTAGTATGTCTCAATGAAGCTGACATTTGAAAATTTTAAAGATAACATTGGGATGTTAGCAAATCATAGATTTGCAGCATTAATCATAGATTAAGCATTGCAATGTCTTGGGCTTTTTATGCCTCAGGGTGTTCAGACAAAAGATGTGAGAAAAAATAATTATTTATTTATTTATTTATTTATTTATTGACGGAGTTTCACTCTTGTTGCCCAGGCTGGAGTGCAATGGCACGATCTTGGCTCACCGCAACCTCTGCCTCCCAGGTTCAAGTGATTCTCCTGCCTCAGCCTCCCGAGTAGCTGCATTTACAGGCATGCACCACCATGCCCAGCTAATTGTGTATTTTTAGTAGAGACAGAGTTTCTCCTTGTTGGTCAGGCTGGTCTTGAACTCCTGACCCAAGGTGATCCACCTGCCTTGGCCTCTCAAAGTGGTGGGATTACAGGCATGAGCCACAGTGCCCAGACCAGAATTCATTTTTTTTTTTTTTTGAGATGTTTTGCTCTGTCGCCCAGGCTGGAGTGCAGTGGTGCAATCTCGGCTCACTGCAAGCTCTGCCTTCCGGGTTCACGCCGTTCTCCTGCTTCAGCCTCCTGAGTAGCTGGGACTACAGGCACCCGCCACTGCGCCCAGCTAATTTTTTGTATTTTTAGTAGAGATGGGGTTTCACCATGGTCTCGGTCTCCTGACCTAGTGATCTGCCTGCCTCGGCCTCCCAAAGTGCTGGGATTACAGGCGTGAGCCACGGTACCTGGCCCCAGAATTCATTTTTAAAATGATGGTAGGCCAGGCATGGTGGCTCATGCCTATAATCCCAGCACTTTGGGAGGCTGAGGCGGTCAAATCACTTGAGGCCAGGAGTTCAAAACCAGCTTGGCCAATATGGCAAAACTTGGTCTCTACTAAAAATACAAAAATTAGCAGGGCGTGGTGGCGTGCACCTGTGATCATAGCTACTCAGGAGGCTGAGGCACCAGAATCACTTGAACCCGGGAGGCAAAGGTTACAGCAAGCCGAAATTGTGCCACTGCACCTCTAGCCTGGGCAACAGAGTGAGCCTCTAAAAAAAATATGTAATAAAAATAAAAATAAAATAATGATGGACCTTCGGTCCTTCATCTTCCTAGGGGCAGGGGGACTTATCATGTGTAGGACTGAACACTGGGCTCCCCTAATCACGCCTTCTTCCCCTGAGGCCTCTGTGGGGCAGGAGGACTGGAAAAGCTTTCTTAACCACACAGATGCATTCAGCAGTGGGAAGGCTGCTGTTGCTGAACCAGCACAAATTCCTATCCCAAGGAAGAAATCAATCCATCCTAATGGGAGATGAGTTAATTGAGTTGCTGAATTGTGTCTGAGCTATCAATTACCCCATCAGAGGCTCACTTGGCTGTCAGGCTGGGCAGCACTCCCGAGTCTGTGACCACCATCTTGTCTCTAACAGGGCTGTTTCAAAGACCACATCCTACTGGTACCCATTTTTAGAAGACAATGGCTGATGGCCAGCACATGAACAAACTTCAGGGAAGCTTTCTTCCTAGCCACCCAGCACCATAGTCTCTGTCTACATGCAAATGGTCTACAAAGAATATGCAATCTACTACACCATTTACAACAAAGAATACACAATCTTAGTTAATTCTTACAACACTCTGAGGTAGAAATTACTATTCTCATTTTAAGAGGCAGAAACTGAGGCTCAGAAAGGTAAATAACTTGTCATAGAGCACCCAGCTAGCAGATTCTCAAACTTTGGTTTTGATTTCAATCCAATAGTGATATTCTTGCTTGAAGCCACATCACCTCACAAAGGCCCAGAGTCCACATCCCAAGCCCAGGGTGGCAGGTTGAGTCCTATGTGGAAAACAGTCTGAATGATGTCTGTCCCTTAGTTTTTTAAATCTACCATTATCCACGATTTATCTAGCATTAATACTGCCTTAACTTCCTCCCTCCTTCCACCAAGGCAAGTTTTCTAGCTAGAGGCTCCAGCACCCCACTGCCTGCTGTCCCTCTGGCTCATCCACTGTGCAGTCATCAACTTTCTGGTTCCCAGTTCTGAGGGCTGAACAGCGCTATGACCTTCCCAGCTTGGCTCTTGGGTCCTTTCAGCTAAAATGATAGATTCTTACTTTCTGGTCCCATAGAGTAATGTCCCCCCAGTGACTCAAAACCATTCTAAGGAAGGAAAGAGAGGAGATTCCCATCACTCCTAAGAACCACCAGGTTGTAAAGAAAACAAGATTCACCTCCTAAGACAAACTCTTCTTGGTCAAAGCCTACGTCTGCAAATGTGAAGGATATATTAGGTTGGAACAAAAGTAATTGTAGTTTTGTCATTACTTTCAATGGCAAAACCTCAATTACTTTTGCACCAACCTAATATGATTCTTAAATGTCACCAACATATCCATCCACGTCCATGGGGTGCACTATGCACATGTAACAGCCCACACAGCCAACCTGGTTAAGACCAATATGAAACTGATAAATTTCAACCTCCAGAGGGTTTACTAATGGGCTGGCTCAGAGAGGGATATATCCAATGGGGAAGTAGAATGAAGGGAAAGAGGCGACTCCAGGAGATGCTGCCAAAGAGGGATTTATAAGACTTGGTGACTGATGAATTTGGGGGCCTCTCTCACTGACCCTGAGCATAGCCTCAGCATGTGCCCTCAAGGCTGACACTCAGCTGGTGTGCATCAGAGAGACTATACCTGACATTAAAAGAATGATATGCTACCCTAGAGTGAGTAAAAGCCATGGTCCTGGCCTCTCCCTCATGACTTGTCTTCTGCTACAAAAAGAGGGGTCACATGTGGTTCTGCAGAGGCCCCAAGGGCCTGCTCCTGCACTTGCCACCATCTCTTTGGATCCACTGGTCCATGCCTGTGCCCTGCCATTTGTTAGATATCCTGAATATCAGCCCCTAACTGTATGTACATATCTCTGCTTTGGTGGCATTTTCTATTTTGAGGCCACTGGAGGATGAGTGCTTCTTTCCTTAAAGAACTGCCTCATGCACCAGACCCTAGACCTAGGGTGCTGACACCGGATCTGGAAACACACTGGCCCTGCCCTGGCACTCTCTGCACCATCCCACCAGCTTCACAACCATTATCTCATTAATTATTCAGAATGACTTTATGCACTGCTGCCTTCATTCACTGAGCTGGCACTGACAGCACTTAGTTTAACCATGTTCAGATCTGATAGGGGGAAACGATAAGGTGGCTTGGCAGCTGTATTTAAATCTTATTTACTCTAGTAGTTGCAGTCTGGAGATATCATGGAGTCATTCATCAAATGGCCCTAAGCCTGCAGACCTTCCTCCAGAGCTAAATTTAGAGTTTTAATCTTAATAAGCCTATGAGGCAGGAGCCTTCTCCCATCAGAGGGCTGGTTATCTTATCAAAAGATACACAGCAACAGCAAAGCTGCCTCAGGCTTCTGAGCCTATAAACCACTGGATCTAACTCCAAACGTGGGGGAGATGGACAGAAGCTTTGAAGAACAGGCTTTTGCTACCTTAAGGCTCTAATGATAATTCCTTACCCTCACAGAGTTTACATACCTGGAACTCAAACCCCGGTGTTCAGGCCTCACAGTTTTTTCAAAAAATGGTCAGCTGTCACTTTCACTTTCACGTCCTCTCAGGAGAAAGGACTAGATGGTTGTCATCTATTCGAAATTGAAGCAGAAAATCCCAGAACAGCAAGTCTGCATCAGAATCACCTGGAGGACAGGCTGAAACGCAGACTGCAGGGCCCCACCCCACAGTTTCTGATCCAGTAGATCTGGGGTAGGCCTGAGAATCTGCATCTCTAGCAAGTTCCAGGTGATGTGGATGCTGCTGGTCTGAGAACCACACTTTGGGAACTACTGTTGTAGGGGAATCTGCAGGGGGAAGGGCATTCTACTAAATTGGGTGCTCACGCATGGAGCAGAGGAGACAGACATTTACTGAGCATTACATGTGGCTTGGCTGGGTACATCCCTCATTCTCACAACCACCTTATCACACAGGTGTCACCAGCCCCATTTAGTAGATACGGAAACTAAGGCTCGGAGAAGTAGCTTTCCCAAGGTCTAAACGCTCATTGGACATTAGAACTCAAGGCTGTGTGGCTCCACAGTACACTTGACCATTGAAGCTCAGACAGCAGCAGCTTGCTTCAGGTCACATGGTGAACGTTGCTGGCCAGGATTCTTTTCCTTTAAATCCTTGGCCTTCAAATCTCATTTCATCCCCCTACTCCAGGTGCTCAAGGTAACAGAGAGGGAGAAGCTTCAGGATGGTGTTTTCAGACCTCAGCTAGCACTCACTCACTCGGTCCCCCCATCTCCTGGGGCCGCCCTTTCTTGTCGCTGTGGTGGGAGACAGAGAAAGCATAGATGAGCACGCTTATATCCTTTGTCTTGGTTAGTGCCTAATTTAGACTGTGAGCATTGAAGAGCATGTTCCCAGTGCCTGCATGACCCTTTATTAAAACTGTTAAAGCCACAATTATATGGCCCCTGCTAAGGGCTGAGCCTGCAAGAGGATTTGGCAAGGAGAGACAGAGGAAGGGGCAGCTGGGACCACCCTCAGGGAGCTTCCTCCATTCTGAGCAAGAGATCCTTGCTAGGAGCTGAGTGCACATTTTAACCAGCACAAACAGTTGTCTTTAATAAATCACACTGTTCACAGTCAATTTCACATCCTGATGAGGCCAACTTCTACTGCATTTTTCATCCTTCCCTAACTCCCGATGCAAGCTCTGCAGGCAAGCACTTACTAAAGCACTCACTTCCATGAAGTAAAATCATTCCACCTGAAATGCAGGGAGTGGGGAGGAGAACTAGCCAGAGCCACTTTTTCTTATTCTGACAGCACAAGCAGAAGGGGTGCTGAAAAAAAACAAATATTTTCTCTCTCCAGGGACAACTAGGTAGGGGACCTGCTTTCCAGAAAACTGTCCACTGCAGTGGTTGCTATACCCCAAATCAGGCCCCTGGAGCCAGAGGCTGCACAGTCATAACACACTTCCCCAGCTGTTTCTCTTCTTTAACCTGTGTTTTTATTCCAGCCTAATTAGGAGTGTTGTGCATTATTAATTCATGACCACACTATAAAACACAGTGGACGCTGCCTAGCAAATGAGCTCACAGAAGTCACTTTCCTGAAACAGGGATGGCACACCACGAATCAGGCTTCTTGTCAGACACCCCTGACAACCGCTCACCCACATCCATATTTATGAAGCACCTACTGTGTGCTTAGCATTCAGACAGGCAGCCTGGATTCTTGCCATAGGCAGTCTGCGTCTTCATTTGAGGCCTTATGTGAAGGTGCCACCGAAGGCTGAGGGCAAACTCTGGGGCCACCACGCTCCTCCCCTACAACTTATGTTCAGCTCCACAGCTCTGGGATCCAATTGTGCAGATGACAAAAGGCTCAGTGACAACAAAGATAACAGAGACAGGATTTCCAAAAACTAGGTAGGCTGTGAGGATGAACTAACACTAATAAGTTAAAATTGAATAAGATAAAAACAGCTAAACTTAGCAGATTTTATTTTATTAATTTTTTAAATTTTTTTAAATTATACTTTAAGTTCTACAGTACCTGTGCACAACATGCAGGTTTGTTACATATGTATACATGTGCCATGTTGGTTTGCTGCACCCATTAACTCGTCATTTACATTAGGTATTTCTCCTAATGCTACCCTCCCCCTGCCACCCACCTGCCAACAGGCCCTTGTGTGTGAGAACATGTGGTGTTTACGGTGATAGTTTGCTCAGAATGATGGTTTCCAGCTGCATCCATGTCCCTACAAAGGACATGAACTCATCCTTTTTTATGGCTGCATAGTATTCCATGGTATACATATGCCACCTTTTCTTAATCCAGTCTATCATTGATGGACATTTGGGTTGGTTCCAAGTTTTTGCTATTGTGAATAGTTCCGCAATAAACATACGTGTGCATGTGTCTTTATAGCAGCATGATTTGTAATCCTTTGGGTATATACCCAGTAATGGGATGGCTGGGTCAAATGGTATTTCTAGTTCTAGATCCTTGAGGAATCACCACACTGTCTTCCACAATGGTTGAACTAGTTTACACTCCCACCAAAAGTGTAAAAGTGTTCCTGTTTCTCCACATCCTCTCCAGCATCTGTTGTTTCCTGACTTTTTAGTGATTGTCATTCTAACTGGTGTGAGATGGTATCTCATTGTGGTTTTGATTTGCATTGTGATGATGAGCATTTTTTCATGTGTCTGTTGGCTGCATAAATGTCTTCGTTTGAGAAGTGTCTGTTCCTATCCTTTGTCCACTTTTTGATGGGGTTTTTTCTTTCTTGTAAATTTGTTTGAGTTCATTGTAGATTCTGGATATTAGCCCTTTGTCAGATGGGTAGATTGCAAAAATTTTCTCCCATTCTGTAGGTTGCCTGTTCACTCTGATGGTAGTTTCTTTTGCTGTGCAGAAGCTCTTTACTTTGATTAGATCCCATTTGTCAATTTTGGCTTTTGTTGCCATTGCTTTTGGTGTTTTAGTCATGAAGTCCTTGCCCATGCCTATGTCCTGAATGGTATTGCCTAGGTTTTCTTCTAGGGTTTTTTAATGGTTTTGGGTCTAACAGTTAAGTCATTAATCCATCTTGAATTAATGTTTGTATAAGGTGTAAGGAAGGGATCCAGTTTCAGCTTTCTACATATGGCTGGCCAGTTTTCCCAGCACCATTTATTAAATAGGGAATCCTTTCCCTATATCTTGTTTTTGTCGGGTTTGTCAAACATCAGATGGTTATAGATGTGTGGTGTTATTTCTGAGGTGTCTGTTCTGTTCCATTGGTCTATATCTCTGTTTTGGTACCAGTACCATGCTGTTTTGGCTACTGTAGTCTTGTCTTATAGTTTGAAGTCAGGTAGCGTGATGCCTCCAGCTTTGTTCTTTTGGCTTAGGATTGTCTTGGCAATGAGGGTTCTTTTTTGGTTCCATATGAACTTTAAAGTAGTTTTTTCCAATTCTGTGAAGAAAGTCATTGGTACCTTGATGGGGATGGCACTGAATCTATAAATTACCTTGGGCAGTATGGCAATTTTCACAATATTGATTCTTCCTATCCATGAGCATGGAATGTTATTCCATTTGTTTATGTCCCCTTTTAATTCGTTGAGCAGTGGTTTGTAGTTCTCCTTGAAGGGGTCCTTCACATCCCTTGTAAGTTGGATTCCTGGGTATTTTATTCTCTTTGAAGCAATTGTGAATGGGAGTTCACTCATGATTTCGCTCTCTGTTTGTCTGTTATTGGTGTATAGGAATGCTGTGATTTTTGCACATTGATTTTGTATCCTGAGACTTTGCTGAAGTTGCTTATCAGCTTAAGGAGATTTTCGGCTGAGACAATGGGGTTTTCTAAATATACAATCATGTCTTCTGCAAACAGGGACAATTTGACTTCCTCTTTTCCTAATTGAATACCCTTTATTTCTTTCTCCTGATTGCCCTGGCCAGAACTTCCAACACTATGTTGAATAGGAGTGGTGACAGACAGCACCCCTGTCTTGTGCCAGTTTTCAAAGGAAATGCTTCCAGTTTTTGCCCATTCAGTATGATATTGGTGGTGGGTTTGTCATAAATAGCTCTTATTATTTTGAAATACATTCCATCAATACCTATTTTATTGAGAGTTTTTGGCATGAAGGGCTGTTGAATTTTGTCAAAGGCCTTTTCTGCATCTATTGAGATAATCATGTGGTTTTTGTCATTGGTTCTGTTTATATGCTGGATTACATTTATTGATTTGCATACGTTGAACCAGCCTTGCATCCCAGAGATGAAGCTGACTTGATCGTGGTGGAGAAGCTTTTTGATGTGCTGCTGGATTTGGTTTGCCAGTATTTTATTGGGGATTTTCAAATCAATGTTCATCAGGGATATTGGTCTAAAATTCTCTTTTTTTGTTGTGTCTCTGGCAGGCTTTGATATCAGGATGATGCTAGCCTCATAAAATGAGTTAGGGGGGATTCCCTCTTTTTCTATTGATTGGAATAGTTTCAGAAGGAATGGTACCAGCTCCTTTTTGTACCTCTGGTGAATCTGTCTGGTCCTGGACTTTTTTTGGTTGGGAGGCTATTAATTATTGCCTCAATTTCAGAGCCGGTTATTGGTCTATTCAGAGATTCAACTTCTTCCTGGTTTAGTCTTGGGAGAGTGTATGTATCAGGAATTTATTTCTTCTAGATTTTCTAGTTTATTTGCATAGAGGTGTTTATAGTATTCTCTGATGGTAGTTTGTATTTCTGTGGAATCAGTGGTGATATCCCCTTTATCATTTGTTATTGCATCTATTTGATTCTTCTGTTTTCTTCTTTGTTAGTCTTGCTAGTGGCCTATCAATTTTGTTGATCTTTTCAAAAAACCATCTCCTGGATTCATTGATTTTTTGAAGGGTTTTTTGTGTCTCTATCTCCTTCAGTTCTGCTCTGATCTTAGTTATTTCTTGCCTTCTGCTAGCTTTTGAATGTGTTTGCTCTTGCTTCTCTAGTTCTTTTAATTGTGATGTTAGGATGTCGATTTTAGATCTTTCCTGCTTTCTCTTGTGGGCATTTAGTGCTATAAATTTCCCTCTATACACTGCTTTACATGTGTCCCAGAGATTCTGGTACGTTGTGTCTTTGTTCTCACTGGTTTCAAAGAACATCTTTGCTTCTGCCTTCATTTCGTTATTTACCCAGTAGTCATTCGGGAGCAAGTTGTTCAGTTTCCATGTAGTTGTGCGGTTTTGAGTGAGTTTCTTAATCCTGAGTTCTAATTTGATTGCACTGTGGTCTGAGAGACAGTTCGTTGTGATTTCTCTTCTTTTACATTTGCTGAGGAGTGCTTCACTTCCAACTATGTGGTCAGTTTTGGAATAATTGCAGTGTGGTGCTGAGAAGAATGTATATTCTGTTGATTTGGGGTAGAGAGTTCTGTAGATGTCTATTAGGTCTGCTTGGTACAGAACACCCCAATGTCAATATTAGACAGATCAATGAGACAGAAGGTTAACAAGGATATCCAGGACTTGAACTCAGATTTTGTTTTTTAATCCAACTATACAAATATGGAGTGGCAGAAGTGAGGGAACATGATATGGAAGTAGCAGTTGATGGATGAACTTATATCTACCTGGGAATGATAAGACTCTGCAGAAGACAAGATAGTTGCTGCAAATATATAAAAGTCTACTTTAGAAGAGTGATGTCAAGAGGTCTGAGCACCCTCAGGGGCAGGGCTGGGAGGAAAGAGTAGATGCTGGGAGGAAAAGGGACACTTGGGCCACTGGACACCCAATGAAAGCTCGAGAGACTGAGCTTCCTTGGGCAGGGGCAGGACAGCATGTGGGCCGGAACATAAGGGAGGAGATTCCTCCTTTGATGGGAGGTAGAACCCGGTCTGAGAGCCTATGAACTTGCCTTCTTTCTTCCTACGTCCCTAGAACCAGGGCATGCATGGTAAAATGGTCAATGAATAAACAAAGACGAGACTGAAGGAACACAGGGTTGACTTCAGAGTACCCATTCATAAGACTGCCAGATCCATGCTTCAGGCCATTAAAAATAATAGTTGTGGCAAAACCTCTGATCAAGACCACAACCTCTGTGTACATTTGGCCCTCATTTTCCAAGCCTGTGCAACATAGTCAATTGACGGAAGTGCCCACAGTCTAGGCATCCTCTACACTTGTGGAAGTGCCTGGGAGAAGAGGCATCTGGCGCACACTGGCCCTAAACACCTGGACTTACCAAGGGAGGGAAGGGCAGGAATGCACTCCACACACCCACTCTTCTACCACCACCAAATGAAAATGCCATAAAGAGCTGAAAGGGAAAGGAAAGAGAGTGATGCCTAAACTACGTGAACATCTCAAAGGTGATGTCAGCAAATGCTTCTGACATGTTCTTTTCCTAGAGCAGTTGTTGGATAAAGAATTCTAAATTACTTGACTTGAATTTCTGAGCAAAGAACAGAATGATAAAGCCAAGTTCCCGGGGGCAGCAGCCATGGCCACAGCAGCTCTTCCCAGAGCTCTCAGAAGCGATGATGAGCTAGGATTGCCAGCCACTGCTCTGGAAGGGGAAGGAAATGTTCCTGCCTGTCAAAGATGCCTTTGTTCTCACCTCCATGTGCCCACTGTGACTGCAGTCTATTTTGCTCATCAACACACTGAAGATTGGGACTGGTTGAAAGCTGGAGGTATTGTGGAGCAAGAGTTTTCTGTGCATAATCTTCCAGCAGCAGCTGCTGCTCTTCATCCAGGAGTGGACTAGGTTGTCCAGAGGCATCCCCACTGTCTCCCCTGGTCCTCCTGCCTAAGAGCAGGCCAGGCTGTGCCTGTGGTGCAGTAGGTGGCTGTGGAGCCATTTCTCATGAAGGCTCCTGAGGCCATAGATTTGGTCTCACTAGTGCTCATTTTAACCACCTGAGCTACCTTCTTCAAAAAGAACTTGACTGGAGCACAGAACAGTTCTGATATTAGTTTGGAAAAAAATGTGGCTCCAACATTTACAAATGATATTTGGAAAAGGCATCTCATCTCCTAGGTCCTGTACAAGAAGGGGTGTGGGGAACACAGGTAGAGGCATCCAAGCTCAGAGATGCTACAGTGGTGGCGCTGTCCACATCTACCCCAGCAGCCAGCCCCTGGAGGGGAAGCAGTTTGCCATGCCTTGGAAGCACAGGGCATTTAGGGGGTCCTGGGCACCAGGAAGAGGCATCACAGGGAGAGGCCCACTGGGATGTCAGGGAGTCTGGGGGCCCTCTCTGCTAAAGAAGCATGAGAGCTGCCTGGGGATGGGGCAAGGGCTCTTATATCACTGTTCAGGGCAGAGAAAAGGAATACAGAAGACCCCACATCTCTACCCTTCCTCCATCAAACCCACGTGGAAACCCTGGCGACCAAGGGTTCTCTGCTGACGGTGAGCGGAGAGGCACTGGGCTGTCTCACGCTATAGCTGCTCTTCCTGGCGTGACCCACTTCCCCTGCAGGAGCATAAGGCTATGGAGCCACTGGGGAGCAGGGGATGAGCACGGCTGCCTGGCCCTGGAGAGGAGCCATGATCACTGCTGCTGTCATCTCAGGCCACATGGGAAACAAGAGGCTCAAAGGGCAGGGGGACGGGGGGGGTATGTGTGCTCAGCCTGAGGGTAAGAGAAAGCACATGCGTGACTGTGGACTCCAGCTAGGCTGAGTGGCTCCAGGTGCCATGCCGTACAAGTGACACTGTCACACAGCCGCCACTTCCTCTATGTAGGTCTAGAAGGGCTCTTCTATGGGAGGTCTAGAAGGGCTCCACATGGGGACATGAAGATAAATAAAAGTGTAGCCTAGAAAAAGACCATGAGGTCACCTGGAAAGGGAAATGGACTTAGTCTATGTCACTCTAGAAGGCAGAACCAAGACCAATGGATGGAAGTGACAGGAGATGAATTTTGGCTACTGTCAAAAGGAACATATAACATTTAGAGCCTCCGAACAGAAAGTGGGCATCTTTGTTTGGAATCACTCAGCATCTGGGCAGTTTGGGAAGCTGTTAGGAAGGCATCCATTGCAGATATCTGCCTCCGAGAGAAGGCGGGACCAGATGATCCCTACAAAGGTCCCTTGTAATTCTAAGAGGTTACAGTCCTATAAAATATAGGTCTTCAAATCATCCTTACCTCCCCCCAGAAAGTCAGTCCAAGGAATAAGCTAAAAGACCACTGCAGAAGCAGGGAGAGGAGGGGCATTTGTCTGTAACTGGAGCAGAAGGCAGTGTTCTAGCAAACTGTGGAAACGTCAGAGGAAATGGCAAATTTTTAAATGACGTACTCATGAGGATATTTACCTGACGTATAAAGTGACTCAGATACATTTTTTCCACTTCGGTTACAGAGAAAGACGTTTTTGTGCCTTACAGACCCTGCTCTGAGGGAACCTCTGTTGCCACAATCAACGGCAGGTCTGCCCAGGACAACAGGCAAGTCCTGGTGGGTGCTCCGAGCCCAGGCTGGGATGGGTATCCTCTGCACCTCCAGCAAGAGTTCCTCTCACAGCAGCCCTGCTCACTGGGCTGCCTAAATTTCCTACACTTTGCAGGAGCTCACAGGGAAGAATTTCCTCTTCACTGGCTGATCTGCTCAGAATCAAACACCAGTAACCAATTGTCTACAGGGTCAGAGGAGACAGAACAGGGCGCCATTGACATGGATCAGAGGAGAAGCCAGTCAAGACAGCCAGGATCTCAGTGATTGCGACAATCACTAATGAGGCATTAGCACCCTCCCTGCCTCCTCCATGCTTTCTGTTCAGGCAGCTGGAGTGGCAGGGAGGCTGGGATCCTTTGGGAAACTTTTCCCAGCTATTTATTCTCTTCCTGGTAATCTTTACATGGGGTTAATTGTTGGCCTCCGGGGAAGGGGCCTCAGCTGCCGCAGCTTCTGGCTGGTTATGTTTGTGACCTCAGAGCACAATATTTACATGATGGAGTCCTTGCAGAGTTTCCAGATGCTTCTTTGGTTTTGGGTCAGTTCGGGACGTGGAACCAGCCTCCTTCAATGGGCTTTCTCTGATTCCTCTAAAGTGATGGGGTAGTGCCTACAAGGGTCAGCCCTATGGCTTAGATCTGAATTTCTTCCCGTGTCCCAAAAACTGGAGCTTGAGGTGATGTCCAAAGAAGGAACTGTGATAGTACCCTCCCTGTGCCCCTGGTACATCTCTGACATCACCCTTGGGAGGAGTACTGACCTAGGCTGTTGGAACCCTTCCCATTGCAGAGCCTCCCACCTCCTTCCTAGGGGCTGCACTGTACTCATTCCATGGGGAAGATATGGCTCTGTTCTTGCCATTTGGCTGGGAACAATCTGATCTGAAGATAAACTAACCATCATGCGACTCTCATCATTCAACACTTATTGAGCTCCTACTATATACAGAGCAGTAGGCTAAGTGCTGGGATACCAGCGATTAAAAGGCTGCCTTTCAGTTGGGGTAGGGAGAAAAGAATCTGATGTAAAACAATAAATCAGAACCCCAGGGTGTTTCCTGATGTTAATGAATGATTCATTCAACATTTATTATGCCTTTTCTGTGTGCTGGGCACTATGCCAAGAGCCAGGGCACATGGGATGACAGAACTGGCTTCTGCCCTTGGAGAGCTACAGTTTAGTGGAGGGAGGGACCCAGGCATTCATGGTGTGGGTTCTAGAACACTGAGAGCCGGTGGAGAGGACACAGGAACAGACAGGGCTAAGGACGTGTAGAAATGGGGACTGCCTTGATTCTATTGGTCGCCAGTGCATGAAGGGAAAGGCCAACCATGGCTCACTATTATTCCACTGTCACACTACTCCCATCACACTATTCCGCCATCACACTATTCTGCTGTCACACTATTCCACTGTCACACTATTCCCATCACACTATTCTGCTGTCACACTATTCTGCTGTCACACTATTCCTGTCACACTACTCCCGTCACACTATTCCACCGTCACACTATTCCATCACACTATTCCCGTCACACTATTCTGCTGTCACACTATTCCCATCACACTATTCCCGTCACACTATTCCCATCACACTATTCCCGTCACACTATTCCACTGTCACACTATTCCCATCACAGTATTCCACTGTCACACTATTCCCGTCACACTATTCCACTGTCACAGGCACACCTTCTGGTGGTTTCCATCCTCCATGAAGACCCTCCCTCAACAAGCAGAAGGTCTGCCCTCCAGCTCCTGCCCCAGCACCTCAGCTGCTCTGGCCTCCAGCATGACTAAGATTTTTTTCAAAAAATTTAATCTCTTTTTGACCAGATAATGCATAATATAAAATACAAAAGGTACCAAAGGGTAGGCAGGGAAAAGGAAATCTCCCCTCACTCCTCTGTCTAATCCCTCAGTTCCTCCCCCTATAGGCATCTCCTGTTCCCATTTCCTTGTTTATCCTCCCACAAATATTGTATGTACACAGAAACATACACATTAAATGGTATTTAACTTTTTTTTTTTTTTTTTGAGACAGGGTCTCGCTCTGTCACCCAGGCTGGAATGCAGTGGTGCGATCTCAGCTCACTACAGCCTCAACTTCTTAGGCTCAAGCAATTCTCCCACCTCAGCACCCCTCTCCCCCAAGTAGCTGGGAGCACAGGGATGCACCATCACATCCAGATAACTTTTGTATGATTTTTTGCCAAGGCTGGTCTCAAACTCCTGGGCTCAAGCTATCTGCCGGCCTCAGCCTCCCAAAGTGCTGGGATTACAGGTGTGAGCCACTGCACCCAGCTGGTAGTTGACTTTTCATTCTAAAATATGTATTGTTTTTGAACCTAAGTACTACACACACTGTTCCTTCCTATTTTTTAAGGTTCTATATCTTGGGAATTGTCCCATGTATGTATGTATGTATGTATGTATAAAGCTGTTTTGATCTTTCTAATGGCTTAGTAGAATTCTGCAGAATGGATATGCCGTAAGTGATTCACCTGGTGGCCTCCAGTGGACATTTATGTCTATTCCAATCTTTTGCTATTACAATGGATATCCTTGTATATTTCATTTCACATGTGTGAAATTATGTCTGGATGTCAAAGTCCTAGAAGTGGAACTGCCGGGTCACTTTTGAGAGATACTGCCAAACTGCTCTCTCTAGAGGAGCTGGCACTTTATACTTCTACAGGAATCTATGAGGTAAAATTTTTGATCTATGCCAACCTGGTGTAGTACCTTGTCCTACTTTCAATTTGCATTTCTCTTTTGCAGAGTGAGGTTGAGTGTCTTCTCATTTGCTTCAGAGACATTTGCATTTCCTTTTTCTGAGAACTCTCTGTACCCTTTCCCCATTCTTCTTACAGGCTGCTGCCTTTTTCTTATAGATCTACACGAGTGAGGCAGTTAATACTGCACCAGCCTGAAGGGTGTTCTGCAGCCCCCTTGGAGGGCACAGGCAAGGGCACTGAGTTGCGGGAGCCTCCATAGGCAGGGCCAGGCCTGGGACTGCCTGCTTGGCTGGGAGCAGTTTACAATGGCCGGGCACCTTGATGTCTCCAGGTGCTCACACGCTGGGCTCTGTGCTCAAAGAACACAGTGGGCCCCGGGTTCTGCCCTCTGTAGCAGCTCAAATTTCACTGTTTCTGAATCTTTATTAAGCGAGGAAATCAAAACCAACTTCCTTACTACTGGCATCATAATCTCTGCAAGGGGTTCATAGTGAGCCACCACCTACAGGAAAGGCTGTATGCTACTTCTATTTTCACTCTTAAGACCCTTCGGCTAGAGAGCTAGAGATAAGAATTTGTTTTGATTCCTCCATTCTTTCTTTCCTTCCTTCCTTTATTCCTATCTCTACTCCCTGTTCTCTCTCTTCCAATCCCCTCTATTCCATCTATCATCCCATCCACCCACCCATTTAATACTACTTGGGGTGGGCAAGGCTTTTCTCATTGAGACTTCTCTCTTGGAAATGTCATGATAGAGTGGCTGATGTGTATCCAGCATCTATTCCAATTACTTCCTCCAGCTCTTGACAGCTAGGCTTTCCTTCAGTTCAGAGTCAGTCAGGATGGATGATGAATTAGCCTCAGCCACACCATTTCTGGGCCTCTCAAGGTCAGGACTCAGGGCTCCTGTGGGCCCCCACCTCCAGCTCCATTAGCCCCTTTCCTGGGTTGCCCTTACTGACAACCAAGCCCTGGCCTAGAGGCCACCAGGGCTGCTTTACTTACTTGGATGCCCAGGTTTTCCATGATCCTCTCTGGGATGGTCTAGGCCCTATGACTATGCTTGTTTTGCATCTCAATTCTGAGCAATTCCTATTGCAGTGTAGCAGGAGAAGAGGACAACTGAACTTCCTTCCTATTTCCAGTTCTTGTCAATGTCCCTCCAGCCCTAGAAGGCAGCAGTGGGTCCAGCCTCCAGCTTCTACCGACACTCTCAACCTCAACAGCACTCACCTCCCTTGGGGTCTGAGAGCTGGCTGCGCAGTCCCCCTGCTCTGAGGTTCCATCGTAAGCCGCAGGGTACCCTTCAGAGGCCTAAGCACAGCTGCCAGGGGCCTCTTCTCTGAGATCTTAGATTCTAGTGATGCACTTCTTCCCTTGTGTTTCCCAACCCTAGGGGCAGTAACTGCTTTCTACAGTTACTCATATCTGGGATGCCTCAGTGTCCCTTTTTGCTCTTTCAGCTTTCTAATACTTGTGTAATTCCCCATATCAAATCCCTGCTGCTTAAATACCTAGTATAGTCTCTGTTTTCCAGACTGGATCTTGACAGATATGCCATCTAACTCCCAACTGTAGACCAGAGGCTGATCACTGCCCCTGTGGAGAGGCAATAATTCTGCTGAGTCTGGAGAGATGAGTAGGGGCATTTGCCATGCACAGAAGACAGACCCAGAACTTTGGGGGTTTCAGCCTTTATGGAGATTCAACTAGAGGAATTCTTACCAAGTGTTCTCTTTCTCCTGTGATCAGAGTCACAATTACTCCAGGCTCCATTCTGAGCTGGTTCCTCTCTCCCCCTAGGGATGAGATTGTGTGGCTCCTGGCAATTATCTACAGCTTTCCAATATATTTAAAAAGTGAAATTTCATATAGCTGATGAGTCTTCTCTTTCCCTTACTAAATTTATAATATGAGAATATGTTAAAAATTATATTTGCCCCTCATGGACAAACTAAGGAAGGAGTATGCCATGAAGCAAATAAATTCATAAATTATAGGCCTGCCTCAGGTCCATGTGCCTCTAGCTCACTCCCAAACATCACCCACAACACATTATAAGCAAAGAAGGGCTCCAAAGCTTGTCTTGTCTAAACTAATAGCTATGCAGGGATATCCAGCTGACCTAGAAAGAGATTAAATATACCTTCTATCCAAGAGCTTCCAAATGCTCTGATTAAGAGCTTGAGTTGGATCCGAATCCCCTTAAATGTATTTATAATTGGCTAAATTCCAAAGCTGCAAACAAAAGGCCCTTGTATTATGTTTGCTCTTTTAATGAAAAGAAAAAATAATCAGACTATGCTCCCGAGAATGCACCTATAGTTCAACCCTTTTTAAGGGTGACCTTTACAAATGAATTTTTGAAAATTCTATTTCAGCACACTCTCTAGGATTCAGAAACACAAAGAAGAAAGGAGTAAGATGTCCTATCCTCCACAGTTGGGGCCAGTTTTAGGAGCCAGAACTCCCAGCCACAGAAAAGAGCCCTGCTCTTGGACTCAGGAGTCCTGAGCTCCATCACTTGTTAGCTCTGTAAACCAACTTCTCTGAGCCTCTTGTTTTCTCATCTTTAAAACCAGGATTATCAATCCCTACTCACAAAACCATTATGAGAATAGGAGCCATCTGATTCTCTATTTATTCAACAGGATTCAAGAATGGGAAATAATGAAAAACCCAAATCTCAAGCAGCAAACTTGAGCTGTTTCCGAGTCATGTTCAATATCCCAGTCCTCAGCATCATGCCATATAGGCAAGATGAACAGGTTTCTTTCCCTTTCTACTGGGGAGGCAGGGGAAAAACTCTGACAAGAATGTTCTTTGACATCTCACAACTATAAATCCAAAAAGCTTTCCTGAAGCCTAACACTTGTCACTGAACAAGCACATTTCTGATGCTAAATGATATGAGTAGCCTATGCAGGTATGGAGACACAAACCCTGAAGATACTCTCCTTGCATAAGTGCCTTGTGGTTTTATTGCTTTTAACTTCCAAAGAAGCTGCTGCCCTATAAACCTATGACCCCTTCAGCATTGTTGGCTCTGTCGGTAGCATGATTTCTGTCATGCTGACCTGGATCCCCAAACCCAACACTCCAACATTCTGCTTTCCCATTACCCGTAAGTGGGACATGAGAGTTGACAACACATAGGACAGGTCAAGGTCATTCTCGACTCTGATCTCCATGTGGCTCCTGCCAGAGATGACATAAAACCTTTAGGGAGACACAGTGTGAACAGTGTCATGGCTGCACGCAGCCCATCCTCACACTGGGAGCAATACTGCATTACTCTGCTATCTGAGGGTCATATAGGTCTGTGTTAGTCATGGTGATGTTAGGTCCCAACACTACCAATCACTGCTGTATTCTGTGTGACCAGCACTGTGCCAGGGTTACCTTGGTCTGACCCACTCAGGCCTCTCCAGCCTACTCTTTAGGAGCCAATGTGAAGCCACGGCTTATTTTGTGAAGCCATGCCAATTTCCCGTGGCAATTATGCCATGCTTAGAAAAATCATGAAAATGAGTCTCTATTCCTAGCTCACTTAGACAAAGAAAGTAAAAGGGGATCCTGGGTGTGCTGAGTGGTCAGAGGGGAGCCAGAATGAGATTCCAAACACCATCTGAAGACAGCCATGTATCTGAGAATAATTCCCCTCTATTACTTACCAGAGTTGAATATATAGCCAAATGTATGCTAAACATCCCCTCTACCCTCTTTAAGTATTTGCCGAGGCCAAGATTATACAGTTGGGCTGATTCCAAGGAAGCTATTTTCATATATACCAATTGGGTTATTTAACACAAAATTCAGCAGTACTAGATGTCTGACTCTGAATAAATTATAGAATCATTATTCTGGGAATGGTCTGTTTTTAAAAGGCTCAATCCTGGTGTCACTTGAACTGAACCACAAATTCCCTGAACATTTCTGTATGCAGGCATGTTAACTCAAATGCTCATAATACAACCAGCTTTTGCATTTTGCATAATGCACATTCAGACCTCCATGCAATTTTCAAATTAATCCTGCATTATGTAGTAACACACATGCATACATACAGCCACTCATTTCTCTATAGGACAAATAAATCTTCACCTGGGGGAAAACAGTAACTGCTGGAAAATGCATGTTCTGGAGAATGCGTGTTGTGCATAATCAATCAGCTTGTGGGGCTTTAACAGTAAGTGTATATAAATTTAGGGTCTTGGGATAATAACCAAATAGCACTGAATAAGCAGATTGGATACGGAGGAAAAAATTTAAGACCTCCACCAATGAGTAAAGAACTCAGACCTGTGCAACAGCAGAAGAGAAGAAACAAATACTGCAAAGACGGAAAGAACCTTGTCTCCATCACTGTCCTCACCAAGTACACTGCTGGGGAGAAAGGACCTCAACAATAAATGCATGGCTTCAAGTCTCCGTCAGCTGAACGTATGCTGACTATATGTTCATACTAGGCCTCTGAGGATCAGTGAGGCAGCACTCAATTTCCTTACTTTTATCTGTGGATGTTACACAGATTCTCCATGCAAAATTGGCTCAGACATTGAGACTGATTACATCATACTGCACCAGGAGGGTCTGAAAAGGTTATTACTCATATAATGTGGCTTTCTGGAGATAGCAGAGATCCAAGCCATTCCAAACCAGCTTAAACAAAGGGAAAGGCAAGTGGCTTTGGTTTTAACTGTGGTGAGGGTCAGACCAGTGGTTGGGTTTGTTTGGTTTGAACTTCCTGCCAGCACCCAGGAAAGGGCCAGGTCTGTTTTCTTACAGGCTTACCCAGAGGTGGGACACAAGAAAACAGAGGGGTGGGGCTTGAAAGCTGTCAGTAGTTAAGCACCAAAAACGGAGCCAGACTCTTTACTACAATTTTTCTACCTTCAGGCTGCCATTGCAGATTTAAAGCCCCACTCTGAAATGTACCTACTATGTGACTTGACCTAGCTAAAACTGTCTCCTCAGCAATAAAAGTTGTATAGCATTTTAAGTAAATGATTTTACACAGATTAAAGGAAACTGGCCCAGTGCCCAGGCATAACAGATGTTCAATAATTGTTTCTGAATCTGGAAATTTAAGAAGAGAAATCTGTTTCCTCCACATAGTTTCACATTTACCCTCGGCTTTTTGTTCTTGTGAAAACCAGAAAGATGCCCTCAGCTCTGGTAAGGTTCTAACTCCTTGCCAGAGATATCAGGATAAGGGGTGGGGGTAGAAAAGGAGTGGACAGGTTTACAGGGCTGGGGGCGGTGGGAAGCAGGGAGGATGGCGGCCAGGGTACCGCATAAGGCAACTCCCCCTAACGTGCCATATGACATTTCTGTCTGAGGCAGCTCTGCTGGTTACAGTGGAGAGATAGGCATCCTGGCTGGAGGAAAAATGTCCCCAGTGGAATGGGGAAAAGGACCAAATAATAGGTCTTATGGGTTGAATTGTGTCCCCCGAAAGGTATGTAGAAGTCATCACTCTTAGTACCTCAGAATGTAATGATTTGGAAGTGGGATCTTTGCAGATGTAATGAAGTTAAATGAGGTCACATTCAATGAAGATAGGCCCTAAAACTAATTAAGACTGGTGTCCTCATCAGAAGAAAAGACAGACAGGAGACAGATAGGAGTGATGTAGCTACAATCCAAGGAACATGAAAAGCGCAAGGGAGAGTCAAGGCAGGATTCTACCAAGTCTCGAAGAGAGAATGCGCTTCTGACGCTTGGATTATGGACTTCAAGCCTCCAGAACTGGGAGAGAATAAATTTCTGTTACCTAAACTCTCTAGTTTGTGGTCTTTGCCACAGCAGTTCAAGGAGGCTAATACAGTGGGAAGAAATCATCCATTACTTGCATCTCTTTTTTCTTTAAAGATTTGAGTGAATAATTTTACTCAAAATTGGAATAGCTGGGGATGCTAATGTTTTTTATTTTAAAATAATGAACAAATTACGGATCTTCATTTATTGCCAACTAGCCATTAATTTCTCAGAATTATTTTAAATATACAATGAGAAGATTTTTATATAAAATATCTAGAGTTTCAGTTCATAATCATTTTTATACTCCATAGTTAATACTGTAGTAAAATTGTAAACAGAAGATAAAGATGTATTTCTGCAAGATCTGTAAGCTAAGAGAAAATGTTAGCAGTGATTATTTCTGGGTTATGGGATTATAGGTTATTTTCTTCCATTTCTGTTATTTTCAAATTTTCCTTAGTGTGATAAAAAATATTGGCAAAAGAAACACAGTTTTTCTTTCCAAGAGATATTGTAATTTTCATAAAAGCAAGAAATAGGATTCAGTGTCTTCTTGTCTTACGGGCTTTTGTCTTGACTTTTAATCCTAGGGCTCAGGGATATGTTCACAGCCTCTTCATTAGGCCTAAAAGGATTAGAATAGAGCACACAGTGGTGAGAACATTCATTCATTCCTTTGGAGATTAGAAAACAGGAACTTATCCTGCCAGCGCAAGAGGTTCAGGCTAGGAGTTTGTAAATATTTTTTTCTGCTTTAGTATAATAATATGCATAGTCCCTTTTATTCTCAGGAGTTTTTAAAAATAGGCCTTAAAGTCCAGCTGCTTAGAAGTCTCTTGTAACAAAAACCAAACATATTTAAAAGTAAACAGAGACTTCTGGTTCCACTATGATCTCCCACTACTTACATGAAAAACTCCGTGCAAAGTATACAAAGCAACTACCAGAGTACTCAAAAAAGCAAACACAGTCAGCAGATTTTGGAGGACTCAAAACTTGCTGAAGCACGGGGGTGAGTTTCCCATTATCTTTTTCCTCTTTTATCTCTCAGCTGAGCTGGGAGGGCAGGTCCCAGTTGCAGAACTGCAGGGTGAAGCAGCAACAGGGAGGCTAAACTCCTGATGGAAATCTGATCTTTCTGGCCAAAGTGATCAAAAAAAGGGGGCCCTGTGGGCTAGAGAGCGTATAGGGAACCCTGAAAGAGAGTGAGCTGGGTAAGGGGTTTCCAGTGCATGAACCACTACAAGTCTCAGATGCAGGCCTCAGCTGCACAGGAGGGACCCAAACTGGTATCAGGAAGGCCTGGGCAACTGAACTAACATTTCAAGCATGATCGAGTCCCAGACTAAACCTTGAGTGGCACAAAGCAGACCCACAGCAACACAGCAAAAGCTTTGAGGACAGAACTGAGAAAGAAAGCATACACCTCGCAGTGCGAACCCAACCACGTTAATTGCTTCATAGCTTGATGGTGGCAGCAACTGCACAGGTATATCAACTTGTCAAAATGTGTTGAATACTATCCAGTACTTGCGATAAAGGGACTGCATTTTACTGTATAAAAATTATACCTTCCTGGCTAACATGGTGAAACCCCATCTCTACTAAAAAATACAAAAAATTAGCAAGGTGTGGTGGTAGGCGCCTGTAGTCCCAGCTACTCAGGAGGCTGAGGCAGGAGAATGGCGTGAACCCGGGGGGCAGAGCTTGCAGTGAGCTGAGATCGTGCCACCGAACTTCAGCCTGGGCGACAGAGAGAGACTCCGTCTCAAAAAAATATATATACCTAAATAAAGTGGATTTCATAAAAAGTACAGCAACAAATGGTGGTGTCTCCATAATAAGGAAGGTAGTATCTGGTAGGGAGGCAGCTAGGTGTGACGGCAAGCCTGTCCCGTCCGCTAGGCTGGGTGGCCTTGAACAAGTTGTGTAACCTCTTGGATTCTTTGTTTCCTCATCTATAAAGCAGAGATTATACTAACCACCTTTCTAGAAAATTTTGTGAGGACTAAATATATTAACTAAATATATTAACTTTAAATATATTAAAGGCCCAGGCAAGTGCAATTAGTAAATGTGAGAGAAACCCTACCTCCAAATGACCACTCCAGAGGACACGGCCATGCGCAGTAAGTGGAAGTTACAAGGAGAGCCCTTACCAGCGGCAAAGGCTGTCAGGCAGACCCACATCACCTACTGCAGGTTTCCCGGAGTGCCCCAGGTCTTATAACAAGTTGTTCTGTGCAAAAAGTGGTCCATGGTTAAATGTTTAGAAAAGACCGAATTAAAATTAAATAACTCTCCTTACTATATGGCAAAAGTGCCAATGTATACCATAAATTTCCAAAAGAAGACATGCTATGCAAAAGTTCCCAAACTAATTTTGCCAAGGATCCCCTTTTAGATTGATCACTCCACTCTCCCAAGACTACTATTACTTTTTTTTTTTTTTTTTTTTTTTTTGAGATGGAGTCTTGCTTTGTCACTCAGACTGGAGTGCAGTGGCATGATCTCAGCTTCCCACAACCTCTGCCTCCCACGTTCAAGCAATTATCCTGCCTCAGACTCCTAAGTAGCTGAGATTATGGGCGCCCACCACCACGCCTAGCTAATTTTTATATTTTTAGTAGAGACGGGATTTCACCATGTTGGCCAGGCTGGTCTCGAACTCCTGACCTCAGGTGATCCGCCTGCGTTGGCCTCCCAAAGTGCTGGGATTACAGGCATGAGTCAAAGCATCCAGCCCAAGGCTACTTCTTCTTAGATGACGCACTTCACTCTCCCAAAATGATTACTATTTCTTTGGATTATACTTTGAGAATACTTTGAGAAATGCTGAACTCTTGAAATGAGCATTGGTCTGAGAGTCAGGAGACTTGGCCTCTAGTCCTGGTTGTATACAAGTAATGTTACCTCTCTAGACCTCAGTGTCTTTTCCAAAATGGGAGGGTTAGGCCAGAGTCTCTCCTCCAACATCTTTTTGGATCTAACTATCTACAATTCTATGGCTTCTGCAAAGTATACTGGAATCAGTGTGCTGCTTTGGGAGAGAGGTGGGCCAGAGGACCTCCAAATTTCTAAATAATTCTTCAGAATATCCATCTTTTAAGCTACAGATCTTAAAACAGAAAAAAAAAGAAATTTCTCCATAAAATAAAAATTTCAAAAATATCACATCTTAATTCTTGGCATATGAATATATCATTTTCCACCACCTCTAAACACCACTGGCTCATCTGTGTAATGTTTCCAGATGCTTCTGCAATTAGCTCTTTTGTATTTAAATTCTGTCTATTAAATTGAATAAGATGTTCCTTTTTCTCTTCCAACAAAGTTGTCTGGTGGTTAAAAAAAAAAAAATGAATCTACTGAAAGACAACGCAAATGCCACTCTCTGCAGCCAGGTCGTTCACACAAAATCTGCAAAAGATTCATTGACCAGTGCTAAATCATGATCTCCTCCATCTCTGCATCTCCAACTTCAACTGACATGATTACCATGATGCCTTACAAAAGAGGAAGGAATGATTCACCCTCTGGACGCATGGTATGTTCCAGAACATTTTGGAATACATAAGATACTTCCCCACCTATATAAATAATCATTTCATTTGTGATTAATCAAAGACTAACACTGACTATGAGTTTTATATTTGTTGCCTAAATAAATCAAGGGATGTACCAATATTGTAGAGATGTCAATTCTTAACAAATTTATATACACATTCAATGTAATTCCAATCTAAAGCCAACCAAGTTAAATTTTTTTGTAGAAACTGACAAGATGTTTCCGAAGTAAAAAATTTAAGTGTATCCAAGACAATTTTGAAGAATGAAGATTAAGGAATTACATTCACAGCAACAAGATTTAAGATAGTGCAGTATTGGCCCAGCAAGAGGCAAACAGACCATGGACATTTGATTTATGACAAAGGCTGTAGTACACATCTGTGGGGGATACAATGGTTTTTTCAATGAATGTTGCTGGGTCAATTAAATATCCAAACAGACCAAAAAAAATTGATCCTTATCGCACATTATACACAAAATTAATACTAAACATATTGTAGATGTAAATAGGGAAATTAAAAAAGTAAAGCTTCTACTAATAGAAGATAACATAGAGCAATATCTTCATGAGCTTGGGGTAAGCAAGTATTTCCTAATCAGAACATAGAAAGTACTAACAATGAAGGAACTCACTGATAAATAGGACTTGAAAAGTAAAAACCTTGTCCCTCAGAAAACATCATTAAAAGAGTAAAAAATGGAAGCCACAGAGTGGGAGAACATATTTACAACATATAAAACCAACAAAAAATTCTTACCCAGAATATATGCCTATAAATCGAGAAGAAAAAGCCAATCAACTCAATTATTTTTAAATGGCCAAAAGACTTCTAAAGACATTTCACAGAAAAGAGTATACAGATGGCTAATAAACATTGCAAAGATACTTAAACTTTAGTCATCAAGGAAATGCAAATTAAAATCATGATGAGATGCCAAACACACCTATCAGAATAGCTAAAATTAAAAAGACAGTTACAAGTTTTGGAAAGGATTTGAGGCCACTAGGTTCCTCATGCACTCTTGTGAGACAATAAATTGGTGCAACCCCACTGGAAAACTGGCCACTTCTACTGAAGCTGAACATACACATATTATAAGACCCAGCAATTTCCTGAGTATATACTCAACAGAAATATGTACAAGGTTTTTAACAGTCTCAATCTAAAAACAATCTACAAGTCCATCATCAGTTGAATAGATACATGAATTGTGGTATGTTCACACAACGAAATACTGTACAGCAATGAAAATGAATGAACTATTGCTATACATAACAATGATAAATCTTTCAAACATAATCTCAAAAGGAGCCAGACACAAAAGAGAAATACAGTCCCTTCTGCTTTAATGTGATGGATGTGTTCCTCAAAAGTAACGCAATATGCAAACGCATGCAACTAAAATCATAGGGCTTATGGGAAAGACAGGGTTAGGAACAAAACATTCAAAACTTTGGCAGTGACAAATTTAAAAAAATACAGAAATCTAATAAAAATGGAAGCACAGTTTTACACATGTAAAATTGTTAAGAACTGCATACATACTAGAATAAATAAGATTTTATGTTGAAAAAGACCTGAAGTTTGCTTGTGGAAGAGGGTGTAAGAAGGGTTGCAGCTTGCAAGTTATTGTGACATGGCAGAAGCAGCATTGCCTACGATTGGATGGAATGTGTAACACTAGATGTGGATGGGTGTGTCTCATAACACAATCAACCCAGGTGGCTGGTAGATATATGAGGTACGCGTATGTGCATGCTGTGTGTCCCTACTGGGCTCAGTTTCGCTGAGTGAAGTTTTCTGCATTCACTTAGAATTTCCTGAGGACAAAATTGCATATAAGCAAACACTAAATTGCGTTATGCTTGAATTGTTCTCTAATGCATCAATCATAATGGAAATTTGCATTTTCAAAACAAGCATTATAGCAGAACTGCTAGTACCTTATTATTCTATTTAAATAAAGTTCAAACATAGGCAAAATTTAATCTATATTGTTATTAGGTTGGTGCACAGTAATTGCTGTTTTTGCTATTAAAATTAATGGCAAAAACTGCAATTACTTGCGTACCAACCTAATAGATAACAGGGTATTGGTTACTCTAAAGGGGATTACAACTAAAAGGGATCACAAGGAGTAACTTCCAGGATGCTGGGTACTGACTAAACAGGTGTCTTCAATTTTAAAAACTGATCATTCGGCACATTTAACACTTGTGCATTTTACTATATGTGTGTTATATGTTCCTGGGAGTCTTCCTAAAAGAGATACTAATAGGAAGACAAGTGCTGAGATTTTCCTGCCCCACTATATGGACATTCAATTCTTCCCGAAAACACATACACTAATCACTGACACCATGTCACAAACATTTACACAGTTCTTTTCATACAGTATTCAGTAGCTCATAATTCGTACCCTAAAGAACAAGGTAAGGTTCCTTTCAGTTATTAAATCCAGCCAGATAACTCGTAAAACCCCAGCATTTTCTTAGTAGTGTGATGTAGTGAAAATAGCACTGAAGCAGCAGCTAGATGACATGGGCTCAAAAATCAGCTCTGCCATTTACTACCTAGGTGGGTTTGGCAGGTCATTTAACTTGAATTCTAGTTCAATCTATATCATAGGACTATAATGCAAATAAATGTGCTTTGCAAACCATAATCGTGTCCACCTAAGGCAAGATGCTATTGCAGTATTTTCTCCCTCAGGTCCAGCTGAAATTTAGTTTAAGCCTCCCATTTCCTTGTTTGTACTTCAAAATCCCAAATAACAAAGCTGGCTAACATTAGCCTAAAGGGGTGCGTGTGTGGGGGGCAGTGGGGGGCGGAGTGCGGGGGTTACACGCACGCATGTTTTGAATACAGTTCCATGTTAGGGCTTTGGCAAAGACATTTTGATGGTGAGGAATTTAGTGTTCTGATGGGTTTATACCTTCATCAGAAAAAAAAAACTGTGTCCACATAGCATCTTGAGTTGTGTGCAGATCTAGAGGCATTTTAAAGCCCAATACTCAGCTTATTGGAGTCAGAACTCAGTATTCTGTGGTCAGAGAAGAGTTTTCATTACAACTAACATCTAATTTCACCCCTTAGCCCCAAACAATTCTCTTCATAAGGCCACTCCCTCTTGTCTCCAAAAAGTTTTCTTATTAAGCCAAGAAAAATGAAGAAGGGCAAAAATCTAATATCAAACAGTATGTTTCTAACCCCAGACACTGATTATTTGGATAAGTTAGTTTGTAGTATCTACATCACTGGATATATGAGAGTTGCCTAGGGCTGCTGAGTTCTTGCCACCTTCGAAACTCTCAAAGCACTATAATCTACCCACTAACTCAGTCGGAGATACACAGAATAGTAATGGCTTCTTCTTAGCCATGGATTAACACTTCCAGGCTTGAAGAAATGAGCACTAGCCAGGCAGGGAAATTAGAAGTCTCCCATACTGTTAACTAATGCTGGCATTAACAGATCAATTATGGTAGAGTATCTCAGGGTAGTACAAGGAACATTCCAATCAAGAGTCACTAGGGGTGCTCCTTAAAACACTGGTTCCTGGATGCTACCCTAGACCCACTGAATCAGAATCTCTTAAAGGCAGGAGCTCAGGACTCTGCATTTTAAATAATCTTTCCAGGTGACTCTGATGGGCAATAAAGTTAGGAAACAACTGTACTGGAGGTTGGGCAAGGGAAGAACTGACATCATACTAACGATGACACAAAGGGGAACGGTCTCATTAAGAAAGTTGTTTTGAACCAGGTCAACCTTGAAATCACTCAACATTGTGTTAATAATGGGGAATGCAGCTACCAGGCATCAAACCTGCACTGCGCCACTGAAAGGAGGAAAGAGTGAGTGTCATGCACATTTAACACTGAGATGTCATAGCAAACAACAAACCCCAAATTTTCTGCACACCATTTTGAGGACTTCTCTCAGGTGAGATGCAACCTGGATGTTCCTGCCATTTCAGCAAGACGCTGGCTATGTATCAAACTCCCCACATCTATGCATCCATCTGTTTACTGGATGGATTGATAAAGAGCATTTCCTCTGGAGAGCTTGGAAAACTCATCTTATGCTAAGTGGCAAGTCACAAGGACACTGGAAATGCCAAACTAGCATGATGAAAAGCAGAGACTTACATGATGACTAGTACAGACTAAACTTTAGCAGATGAGCAGCAAATCAAGTTTTTTTTTGTATTTTGTTTTTTGTTTTGGATTGACAGAGTGAGGGAGGAAGGCAAAATGGCATGGGATGAGTTGGGAGGACAGAAGGAAAGGTAAATGGCCAAATGAATGGGTTGAAGGAAGGAAGAGTGGACAGGCTGTTGGGTGCATGGATGAATGGATAAAATGGATGGGAAGACAAATAGACAGATGGACGGAGCAGATAGGGCCATATCGGATCAATTATCTTTTAACCTTAAACTGTTTTTAACAGCTTATTGAGATAAGATTTGCATATCACATAAATCACCAATTTAAAGAACACAATTCAGTGGCTCATAGTATATTCACAGAGTTGTTGAACCATCACCACAATCATTTTTGTTTTTAATTTTTAAGTATTTTATTTTTGAGGGAGGGTCTCACTCTGTCACCCAGGCTGGGGTGCAGTGGTGTGATCATAGCTCACTGCAACCTTGGCCTCCCGGGCTCAAGCAATCCTCCCACCTCAGCCTCCAGAGAAGCTGGGACTACAGGCACATGCCACCACACCTGGCTATTTAAAAGAATTTTTTTTTTTTTTTTTTTTTTTTGTAAATACAGGGTCTCTCTATGTTGCTTAAGCTGGTCTCGAAATCCTGGACTCAAGGGAAGTGATCTTCCTGTCTCAACCTGCCAAAGTGCTAAGATTATGGGCATAGGCAACCATACCAAGCCCCATATTCAATTTTAGAATATTTCATTATCCCCTAAAAAGAAACCCATGCCCATTAGCTATTACCCTACAAATCCCTATCCCTCCCAGTTCCAGACAACTACTATTCTATTTGTGTCTCTATAGATTTGCCTATTCTGGACATTTTATAAATAGAATCAACAACATGTGGTCCTTTGTGACTGGCTTCTTTCATTTACCGTGTTTCCAAGGTTCATCCATGTTGTAGCATAAATCAGTACTTCATTTCTCTTTATTGCTGAATAATACTCCATTGTATGGATATGCCACATATCATTTGACAGATGTTTGGATTGTTTCTACTTTTTGGCTATTACACAGAATGCTGGTATGAAAATTCACATACAAGTGTTGTGTGAACATAAGTTTTCATCTTTCTTGGGCACATATACAGGAGTAGAATTGCTATGTCATATAGTAACTCTATGTTTAACTTTTTAAGAAACTACCAGACTGCAGCCCAAACTGTTTTCCATTTTACACTCCCATCAGCAGTAAAGGTTCCAATTTCTCCACATCCTCACCAACAGTTGTTATTTTCCATTTTTTGTTATTATAGCCATCTGAGTAGCTGTGAAGTAGTATCTTATTGCGGTTTTAATGTGCATTTTCCTGAAGTCTAACGATGCTGAATGTCTTTTCATGTGCTTATTAATCATTTGTAGATCTTCTCTGCATACATATCTATTCAGGTCCTTTGCCCCCCCCTTTTTTTTTTTTTGAGACGGAGTCTCACTCTGTTGCCAGACTGGAGTGCAGAGGCACAATCTTGGCTCACTGCAACCTCTGCCTCCTGGGTTCAAGCGATTCTCCTGCCTCAGCCTCCCGAGTAGCTGGGACTACAGGCGTGTGCCCCCATGCTCAGCTAATTTTTGTATTTTTAGGGGAGACGGGGTTTCAACATGTTGGCCAGGATGGTCTCGATCTCTTGACCTCATTATCCTCCTGCCTCGGCCTCCCAAAGTTCTGGGATTAGAGGTGTGAGCCACCATGCCCGGTTGCCCATTTTTAATTGGGTGATTTGTCTTTTTTATCATTGAGTTATATATTCTAGATACAAGTTTCTCATCATTATATGATTTGCAAAAATTTCTCATATTCTGGATGTATTTTCGTTTTCTTGATGTTGTCCTTTGAAGCACCAAAGTTTTTAGTTTTGATGACACCCAATTGATCTATTTTTTCTTCTGTTACTTGTATCTTTGGTGTCATATCTGAGAAATTATTATTTAATCCAAAGTCATGAAGATTTATCTTCTTTTAAGAGTTTTATAGTTTTGGCTCTTACATTTTGGTCTTTGATCCATTTTGAGTTAACTTTTGTATATGATGTGAGATATGGATCCAACTTCATTCTTTTGCATGTACATATCCACCAAATTATTTTGATAGAAGAAAAATGGGGCCATGTGGCAGAATAATGTTAATATAATACCAGTACCAATAACCAGCTACCATTAGTAGGGGGTCATCACATGCCAGGAACTGTGTAAGGTTATATTTATTATCGTATTTAATCTCTACAACCCCCTACGAGGTAGGTGTTTTTCTCAATTTACAGGTGGGAATTTGAGTAGTAGAGAGGTTAGGTCCCTTGTCCAAGTTCCCATACTAGTAAAGTGGCTCAATTGTGTCTGATTCCAGAGTCCTCCACTACCATCCTACACTGTCTCTGTAACAGCCCTCAGAAATCAGGGGATATCTCAGACACACCTAACTTCTCTTAGCAATTCAATATGAATTCACTAATAAGGCATTTACCTAACACTTCCTATTTATATTTGAAGCATATTGTCATACCTTAGATGTTTCAATTGGGATGTTTGACTCAGAGGAAAAGCAGGATTTCTGTAGAATCTAAGACTTCTGTTTCCGGCAATGGTAGGTATATTATTTGTACCAATACTACCACTGGGAGAAAATAGAATTCTAAAATTGTCAGATAAATATTTTAATTTTTTCCCCAAACAGCTAGCAACATTCCGGAAAGACAGTAAGGAATAACCAGGCCAAAATCTAAGAGAAAATGAGAACCAAAGGAGGCAAAGAAAGTTCTTAAAGTTGTTTTTTTCCTGAAGACATCTGTCTGTCTAGACTGTGCTGCAGCCTTTGGGATAAGATAGCAGAAGAAAAATCCCAGAGCCTGACAAAAGCAATAAGTCTAACAGGTGGACCTCAAAAACACATTAAGCTGGGGCCCAGAAAATAATCATAATCATCCTCAGGTTAAGGGTGAACCAGAAGTAAACCTAGTTCCCACCTCCAAAGGAGAAGGGGAGGGAAGTGAATCCCTCCCTAAGGAAATGTAACTATTGGGTCAGCCCTATTGGTCTGGCAGATACAAGCACAAATTTTGTCTGGAGGAAGATACCTTCACACTAGGCCTCAGGAATACCTCACATGTAATTAAGCAAGATAATGGGCAGCACATAGACAAAGATAACCAAGTATCCAAGGAAAGAGAAGTTAGGGGTAAAACCCAGCAGTACAAGAACACAGCAGACACAGATTCATACAGATTTAAAATATTTAAAGTATCAAACATAGATTACAAAGCAGCTATGCTTATTGATGTTTAAGGAAACAAAAGACGAACCTGAAATATCTGTAAAATATCTGCAGAGAACAAACACTTTCTATAAAAGGCACCCCCCTTCCAGAACGAACTTAGCCTTGGAAAAAGTATTCATTCAGGTAGTACGTGGAATAAGTGGCTCATCTCCGCAAAGCGTCCCCTCTTTGTTTTGACATTCTCCTTGGCACTTGCATATCCTTTCAAATTCTAGGGGCAAAGCCAAAGAAACAGAGGGGAAATCTGGAGTGACCATTCTTTCTCCAAACTTCAGAAATTAATCTATAATGAGCTACCAAATAAAAAGGATAAACCTCAAGTATTTTTGCCCATCTCAGAGGTACCAAAACCATTATTGTACAAATTATGAAGACTTAACAGATTCCCTAAAATTCTCCCTGGGAGAACTCTGAAGATTTCTTCTTCCATCTTTTCTGTCCTTTGATGCGCGACAGCCATAGCTGACAGCCTCATCATCTTTCCCACCGCCTCCCCCTGATCACCCTGCGCCTAGTACTGCTCCCCTTCACATGACCTCTAGATAGATCTTTCAAAGATGAAAATCATGTCACTCTCTTGCAAAAATCCTTGTAGTTCCTGCCTCTCTCAGCCTACTAAGGATGAAGTGCACACACCTCAGCATGGCATGTATGGGCTTCTCTGATCCTCAGGTTACCTTCCTGGTGTTTGTTGGTGCAAACAGCTTACTCATCAATATCACACCTTGCATTCTCTCTGGCTATGATCCCAGGATGCTTGCAGTTCTTGAATATATGATTTATACCTCCATATCTTTGTACAGGCTGTGCCCCATCCCCCGAGTCTGGACTTACTCATCCATTAAGCCCACCTCTGATGTCACCTCCTCTATGGTGACTTTCTCACCCAGAAGACAAAATTAAGACAGATATTAAGGCAAGTGATAGCTAGAAGTTTGGCTTTGTTTTAAAATCAGCTTATTGGTGCATCCCTGAGCCATTCACCTTTTTGTCCTCAATGCATATATCAAAGCACTATGTCCCCAAAACCCTCTCCTTCTAGCAGTATTCTCTGTAAAAATAACTTAGCCTTGCACCCAGACCCAGCTGACCACTGTCCCTCTTTCTCCTGCCTCAGATAAGCTGAGATGCTTCCCACATTGCTTATTTCCTTGCCATGTACTTTTGCTTTTCTTAGTAAAGCCCTGGCTGATAGAAATTTTGTATTGCAATCCAAAAGTCATGAGCCAACCCTCCAGCAATCTTAAAGCGCGGTCATAAAGTGAGAAAAGTAATCAAGAGGTTAGCTTCAAATATGACTAAAGTAAGTTATGGATAACTGTGAACACAAACAGAAAAACAACAAGATCAGGAACAATTTTGTTAAGTTAAAACTTAGCTGGTTTCTTCTAGCTTATTAAAAAGAAACCCAATGACTGTCTGAGAAAAAGCGCAGCTCCACAGACAGACCTGTGTGACCAGAAAATGTCCAGGCATGGTTTGGCTGCTGTGCCATTATGTTGTCTGGTATTTTTCAGATTTTCTATGATTGACAACCCTCAGAACACAAATGGCTCCCTGCTGTGCATGATTCAACAGATGTGTTTCAAAGGCCTTCTCACTGAGGCGACCCAGCTTGGAACCAAGACAAATGAGAGTGGTCCCATCTACCCAACATGTAAACAATGGGGAAAAACGGAAATCAGGTTTACCCAGCAAAAATCCACATTCCCTTGTCATCAACAGGGTGGCTTGGCCTCCCCCAAGCAGGCCAGAAACATCTTCCTAGTGCTCTCTGGGCGGAATGTTCTATCCCGTGGCTTAGCGCTCAGTTGTCTGTCTTCTTACCCCACTAAAAGCCACAGGTTACAAGTAAACTCTCTTAGACATTGCCCCTGGCCCCAGGAGATTTCTAACAGCAAAGAAATACAATAACTTTTTTAAAACAAAGGTTAAATTTCCCTTTTCATTTTACTGATATCAGGTGAAGTCTTCCCAATTTTTTGTTTCCCAAGGTCATGTAAAAATGTAACCAAAAAATATTTTTTTTTAAGTCCTGAGATGTGCTGTCTGGAGACCTAAGTAGGGCTAAAATTAGCAGCTGCCTCCTTCTCTGGGCAAGAGTGGTCAGCAGCTGGCACGCTACAATAGCCAGAGGAGAACAAAAGGGCGCAGAGAGGCTCTGTGGGCACATGCGCCAGCAAGCGCCCAGGGGACAAAGGCTTCGGCCCTGGGTTGGTGGGATGCAGGGTGGCTCTCAAGTGGAGTATCAGCTCTGCCTGCCCTGCCCGGAAGCCTCAATCTGCCAGCCTGACACAGGGTGACATACACTGCCAGGCTAGTTATTCCTATCTGCTGCTTCCTGTGTAATCAATGTCAGGGGTTAGAGAAGGGCAGAAGAGGAGAAGATAAATATGAAGTCAGGCGGGGGCTGGAAGTTTGGCTTTGTTTTAAAAGTGGCTTATTGGTGCATCCGGGACACTCACTGTGGGGCCCTGTTTCTGCTCACCTGCCTTCACCTACCACATCCCTGCTCTTGCCTGACCTGGATCACCTGTGAAAGACAATGGCTCTCCAGGAACCAGAAGGCTGGCTTTCCTTGCTTCTCACCTCCCAGGGCCCTCACTGTGCCTCTGGATAACCATGTGACATTGCTGCGACCGGGCATTTGACTACTCCCATCCTCACTTCACACTGTTGGAATGTCTGTCCTAGGGCCCATGCCCAGACAGCAAAGTCTAACCATCATGTGGACCTGAACATTTGAAGTGGGCGTTTCTGGCCCTCCAGCTGCTGGACTCATGAACTGTTTCTTACAGTGAGGAAGAGTCACTGGCAGCCCATCTCAGTACCTCTCCCTACCCCAACTTCATACTCCACACAACAGAATCCTCCCTATATTCATTCCCTAGGGCAGCCAGAACCAAATACTACCAACCAGGTGGCTTAGAACCACAGAAATTTAGTGTCTGTTTGTTACGGAGGCTAGAAATCTGAAATCAAGGAGCCAGCAGGGACAGGCTCCCCTCAACATCTGGTGGGGAGGAGCCTTCCTTGTTCTTCCCAGCTTTTGGTGGCTCCAGGTGTTCCTTTGTGGCAGCATCACTCCAATCCCTGCCTCCATCTCCCCATGGCCGCCTGGGTCCCTGTGGTTTTACATTATCTTCCTCTGTGCATGTCTATCTCAGTATTCAAAGTTCCCCTTTTTATAAGGACACCAGAGTCTACCCTAATAATCTCATTTTTAACTTATTGATATAGGAAGTAAGAAGAAGTTATTTAGGCAGATAGTGAGGAAGTCCTCGGTAAGGTTTTCCTTTTAATGAAAAGCAGCCCCCAAACCATTTTCTAACAAAGAGCAGCTTGTAAAATCGAACGCAGACATAGACAAGCAAGCTGGAAGCTGGCATGGCAGTTTGAATGCCGGCAGTTGTGCCAATAGGAAAGAGGCTATGGGGGGAGTAGGCATGTCCAAAATGGCGGCTCCATCTTCCCTTTTCTTTGCCAACCATGTGTACAGTAATGAGCAGGTGACATGGCACCAGCCAGGCTAGCTTCCTCATGCCATGTAAACATCACACCTGGTCCAACCAATCTTTGGGCCCTATGTAAATCAGACATCACCTCCTCAAGACAAAGAGCTGTTCCCTTTTCTCTTTCTTTTGCCTATTAAACCTCCACTCCTAAACCCACTTCTTGTGTGTCCGCATACTCGATTTCCTTGCTGTGAGATGACAAACCTCGGGTATTTACCCTAGACAATGATGCTGCTTCATTATCACTTCTATAAAGACCCTATTTCCAAATAAGGTCACATTTTGAAGTACTGGTGGTTAGGACTTCATCAGCTGGGCACAATTCAACCGTAACACACTCTTTTCCATGCTTTGCCCTTTCAGTAGCTTCCCCTTAGAGAGAATACTCCACAGCAGCAGCTAATGTGATCAGGGCAGCCACCGGCAGCTGGGAGAGTTAGGTTAGTACAGAGAAAAATGGCCCAACTAGGCCCAATTGACAGGTGTCAGCTGGAAGCTCTGACCCTTCAACAATCTTACATGATACCAAACAGGTGCTGACAAAACAGGATTTGCTTTTTTCCGTCTTTGTTTCAAGATAATGAAAAGTTTTTTTGTATAGTCTTCACTCCCATTTGTTGAATATTAACTGAAAGATTTGAGTGCCTTAATTACACTCAAGATAAATGACCATCATGCCAGATAGAATTCCTGAGGCAAGGAAAAGGTCCCCTGGATTCCACTTTCTGATCTTCACTGCAAAGACAAGAACCACAGCCAGCCATGCTGTTGTCCTTTGTTGCATTTCCAGCGCCGCCCTTACATGTGACAGTCACAGGCCCTCAGCTCTTATGACAGCCACCCTGAGATAATTCTGTTTCCCTGGTCTTTGAAATTGTGTGCCAAAACAAAATGATTTCCTCTTTCCACTGCTTTCTTGGTCTGGAAAAGAGTAATTACACTGGAAACAGGGCGTGGGAGCAATCTAATGCAATGTCAGAGTAAATCTAAAGAGGGAAGCCAGAGTCCTTGACCAACTGAGCAGGCTTGGGATAAAGAGTTGTAGGTGTGTAGACTGGTCAGTGCCAATCCAGCTAGCAAGCCTCAAGCTGGTCTATCAGTCCCAGAGGCTGGAAGGTCTGACTCTTGTCACCCTCCCAACTTGCTCAGTGGAGAAGTACTAAGAATCAGAACAATTAACCAGGCACTTTAGACTGTCTCTGATAGTGACACCCAGGGATGGTTCATGGTGTAAACAGTGGTTGCCTGTCATGATTTAGGCCTCACAGAGCAGAGAGAGAAGAGTAGAATTTGGAGTCAAAGGGCTTATAATCTCACCTGATATTGCTGCTTAGTAGCTGGACAATTCGGAGGTGTTTTCTATACAAATATTCCAGGAAAAATAGTTGGGAACAAAGGTAGCCAGTACCTCTGTTTGTAAGAAATGCAGAAACACAGGAAAGCCCTGGAATGCTGTCTCCCAACATGGATTGAGTAAAAAAAATAAAAATAAACCTCCTGTAACAGAAAAATACAAAGATATGTTGGCTTCAGGCATTCCTCGATCTAGGGGCTCAAAATTATATGGCTTCAGTTTCCATCCTGCAGCTCTGCCTTCCTCTGAGCTGGCCCCCCGCCTCCACGGCTGTCCACTAGGAAGACGAGAGGGCTCAGCAGCTCCAGCTCTGCATCCTGACAACTCCACACTCCAAAGGAGAGATTGCTTCTGCTTCCCAATAGTTCCAGCAAAAGCTCTGGAATTGTATCACACAGGGAGATGGACCCTACTGCCTGGCGAGTCCTGGGTCGCATGTTGCTTGCAGATCTTAGATACGGGGTGTGCCCCACCTGAATCACACAGACTGAGAGCGGGTGGGAGAGATCTGTTCCCAAAGGAAAAGCAGGGGGCTGTTACCAAAGAATTGGAAACAAACACTGAGCAGGCAAAACTGCAGCAGTCCTCAACACCACCCTTGAAATTCCCTGAAGATAACAAATCTCACTTGTGTCCTTCTGTGAAATTTAATTATTATTTCTTTTGACAGGGAGATTCACATTTTAAGGAGGCTAGTGGCACATCCAAATTGCTATTATAACCAAATCTCTTTAGAAAGAAGCTATGGTAGTGGTGTCACCAAGGGGTGTTCTGCACCATAGCAATTGCCCATGTCAGCATGCTGCGGTAGGCTGAGTAACGGCTCCTCTAGAGATGCCCACCCTCTAAGCCCCCAGACCTGTCAAAGTCACCTCACACAGCAATAGGGACCTTGCTAAGGTGATCAAAATGAGAGATTTTGAGATGGGAGATTACTCTGGACTATCCGGGCAGGCCCAGTGGAATCACAAAGGTCATTATAAGAGAGACAGAGGAGGAGGCCAGGTGCGGTGGCTCACGCCTGTAATCCTAGCACTTTGGGAGGCTGAGTTGGGCAGATCATGAGGTCAGGAGTTCAAGACCAGCCTGACGAACATGGTGAAACCCCGTCTCTACTAAATATACAAAAATTAGCCGGGTGTGGTGGTGCACACCTGTAATCCCAGCTACTCGGGAGGCTGAAGCAGGAGAATACCTTGAACCCCGGAGGCGGAGGTTGCAGTGAGCTGAGATCATGCCACTGCACTCCAACCTGGGTGACAGAGACTCCGTCTCAAAAAAAAAAAACAAAAAACAAAAAACAAAAAAAAAACAGAAACAGGAGGAGACAGCAAGACAAGAGGCAGATATGTGTGACAGAAGCAGAGAGATGAAGAAACATGGTTTGAAGATGCTACACTGCTGGCTTTGAAAACAGAGGAAGGAAGGAAGGCATGAGCCAAAAGAAACCCGTCTCTGTAAACTGGAAAAGGTAAGGAAACAGCTTCTCCCCTATAGCCTCCAGAAGGAACCAGCCTTGCCAACACCTTGACTTTAGCCCAGTGAGACTGATTTCAAACTTCTGGTCCTCGGAACTGTAAGAAAAATAAACTTGTGTTGTTTTAAGCCAACAAGTTTGTAATAACTTGTTACAGTAGCCATAGGGAACCAATGTGGCAACACAGCAAGTGGTCAGCGTTCAGTGCCCTGGAAACTCTGATTAGCAGGAAAAAGTTTCCATAACCTAGCACAAAAGCTTTAAGTGTTCTCTGGTTGAAAGCCCTTCCTGGGTGTTTTAGAATTTGTTTCAGCTTTAACACAACCCCAGGTGCACTTCTGAATAAGGACTTTCACTCACTATTCCTCACATTCTATGCCTGGTTGACTTGGCTGGAATTACTTGTAGGAAAACTAATGCCCAAGGCCTCTGGCTGGCCATGTGGCATACAGTAAAGAAACCAAGGCTTCTGCAAGTCTTGACATTCAGATTCCAAGAATGGTCATAAATGGACCAATGATGTAAACACGGATAGACTGTCTAACCTACATCTACATGTCAACCTCATCACCCTTAGGTATGATGCACAGGAAGCACCTGCTTCTCAAACTCTTCTAGAACTCTCAGAGGATCCAGTGAGGTAGAGACACAATCAATGATAGCAGTGAAAACTCCACTTAGAGGGAAGGGCTAGGAAAGACCGCGAAACAAAGTCATCAGAAAGGATGGCCTCTGAGACACCGACACCTGCCCTCCGTCCTCTTTCATCAGAAATGAAATTTTTAATCCCAAGAATTTAAGAAGATATGATGGGAATGAGTTTCTATTTAATAACAACCCTCCAGAATCTCTAGTGCAATACTCCAGTTCAGCTTTAAATAAAATGCCTGTCCAGAACCATTTGAGTTAGGAGACAAATAAACTGCTCAGACAAGCTAGTAATCAGGGAGAAAATATACTTTCTCTTCTCTCAGCTAGAAATAGCAAGAAAATATGGGGACCTGCATAAGAAAATTACCAGCTCCTCTCTCATTGCAATCTAGAGGGAAAAAGAACCAAATTCTCCTTGCCTTGGCATGGGGTCACTCCAGGAGCTAAGTGTTAAGGCAGAGCTTGCCAAAATAGATAGGATAATAGAAGGAAAAACAAACATCCATGTGTGTACGTGTGCATGTGTGTACAGGTGTGTGTGTGTAATGAGGCATCAGACAAGGCAATGTTTGGTGGATGCCACATCTCTACCAAGCTCTTGTCACTGCAACATTATCACTGGATCACCCCAGTGATCCAGGCCCCACCACTTGGGAAATGTTTTGGTTTTCCTTTTTTTTCTTTTTTTTAAACAAAGTCCATGGCTTCCCTGGACAAAAGCAGGCAGACTTTTCAGAAGAAGCACCATTCTGCACCCATACACACATTATAAGGCTCTCCACCCTCTCAAGGCCAGATATATTCCCAGTGTATAAACACCCCCCCTTGAATACTTTTTCTCCTCATTACCCCAGGACGGTGGAGAGATCACTGCCAAGATGCTTAGGTCACAGCTGGTTTATGGGGACTGGCCTTGCTGGTCTGGAGTTACAACTCCTTGATACCTTTGAATTACAGAGCTCTATTCAGCTGCTTGTTGAAGATATTATGCTTCAATGTCAAAGATTTATGGTAGGCATGAGAAAGCTCCTTCTATTAACAAGTGCTTCTGAGAGCCAAAGGGCTTGTAAAAAGCAACCTGCATTGGTCTCTGCAAAGCATGACACAGCAGAATTCCTCCTAGAACAGCATTTGGACCAAATCTCCAGCCATATCCTTCTCAGATCCATGGACCAGCTAAGTCTTTTAAATAAAGTTTGTGAGCCCTAGATATGCATATTCCTCAAGCAGCTTGAAGTAAACTTCAATATTAAAAATTTGGAGTTTTTTTTAAAGCAAAAACATAGATTCCTTATTTTCTGCTGAATAAACTGAACACTACTTCTTCAACCTCAGCAGCAGAGGTAACACTTCCTGACCAAAACTGTTTTGTGGATGACATATTACCAGAGCCCTAGGTTTGCCACTGAGCATTTCTATCCCTTGCCTTCAGACTCTGTCTTCCACTCTTTAGACAGCAGGGCAGGGGCACAACAGAAAGGGAAGGGTCTGGTTTTACAGCCTCATATCACCCATATGACCCACAGAGACCAGGACAGACATTTTCATGGAAATCACTAAAATAAACTTTGTAGTTTAGAGCAAGCAAATCTATGGCTAAATTCAAGTGAACTGGTGACAGGAAGATACCAATTTTAAGACAACTTTTCCAGGCGAATCATGAGATACTTCTAGGCACATCAGTGATGCCAGGAGAGGGCTCCCTGGGAAACAATGAGGTGTATCTTTTAAGACACATGTGTATCCACACCCCATTAGCTGTGAGGTGTGTGCAAATCTCCTCAATAATCCCTATCTCCTAGATACCCGTCTGCCCCTTCCTGCTCTTCCAGGACTCTGAGGTGAGACCTGTTAGAGGGATGTGGTGTCAGTGGTTCCTCCCTCTTGCTGCAGCAGGTCCCAACCCATCAAGGTGCAGAGGGAAGGGCCACCTTTCCCTTAAACCTGGAAATCTAGACACTGAGCTTAAATGCTCTCCATGCCTAAAGTCAGCGTTCTCACTCGCTTCACTCTATTTCCTCAGTGTGTAAAGATGGGCTCTGGAGCAACAGGAACTGATCATGTGTCCCAGGGAAGATGCCAAGACTACAAGGCTGTCAAAGGTGCACATTTGTCAACAACTCCATATACAGTTTGACAATCCCTTAACTAAACTTTTTGGGGTCAGATGAGTTTCGGAATTCAGATTTTTTTAACTTTAGAAAGCTCATATATGAACACCCCCAGCAGAGACTGAGGGAGCATCGTATAGACTCATTATTTTTTTTCACCAAAACATGAATATTCATATTAATCTTCTATCAAGTCAAATTAGTTATGAAATGAAATCCAGAGTTCTCCAGGATGGGAGATTGGGCACCATCTGGTTCACTTTCCTCCAAGAGATATCTAAACCCAATCCTTCAGGGACAAAAACCCACAGCAAGGAATAGACGAAGCGGCAACTGCCAAAACCCCAGCAGACATTCCCTGACTCAGGAGGCCCATGGGACAGACCAGCAGAGATGCAAACAGGCTCATTTGGATAATCACTGACATAGAAAAAGCCTTCTAAGCTGAGTTTCTCTGGCCTCAGAACCCAGAAGAGAGATGATTCCACAGAGCCCTCCACTTTTATAGAATCAGAGTTCCCAGGGCTGTGGCACCTGAGTCCAAGGAGGACACAAATAGTGCGTTCAGTCACAGACCATAGCTGGTCCCATGAGGCAGCAGCAGACCGGGTTTTCAGAGCCCAATCCCATGTGACTGAGGTTAACTCCATAGGATGTCAGGCAAGTCACACTTTGATCTTCCTGCCTTTCTCTCTGCCCCCTTCAATACCAGCATTCCCTGGGGTTTCTCCCACCTGTTCTCTTCTCATTCTACACAGCTCCGTGGTTAATTGTGTCTACTCCCCTGGCCTCACATACAATCTTTACGCCCTTGACCCCCACACATCTCAATCACTGGTCCCACCATCTTCTCCAACTCATATTTCCAACTGCCTCTTGGGCATTTCTGACCAGGCCCATGTGCCTCTCCTGCTGTGCCATAGACAGCTGGTGCACACTGATATCTGCATGCTTCCCTACACACCCCTGCCCTGTACTTGGGTTGGTCATATGACTGGCTCTGGCCAATGACATGTAAGCAGAAATGTCACATGTTTGAGCACCTGGTGCACCAGTCTCATGTTCTCTTCCCCTCCATGATGCCAGCACAAGACAGTGGAGAATCAAAACAAAGATTCTAGGTCCTGGAGTCACTGCTTAGAAAAAGCCACTGGATTTGTATTGAACTGTCAGAGAAACAAACTTCTATGGTGAGAAATTACTAAGATTTTGGAGTTTCACACAAAGCAGCCAGTGTTAATTTCCCTGATATGCCTGCCTTTTCTACCTAGCAAACTCCTAAATTATTACTTCAATTCAAATGCCACCTCTTCTGAAAAGCCCATCTTCTGTGGAAAGTCAGCTACTCTATCCTGTGACCTCCAGTAACTCACTCATACATCCAGCAGAGCAATTCCCTGAATCTACTGCACATTTTTGTGTGTTTGGCACTCACATTCGTGTGAGCTTCCTTTTTCATCTCTGTGTTCTCAGTGCCTCGCAAGTAGCAAACATCCAATGCATTTGATTTAGGGAAGCGAAAATCAGAGCCTCCTCATTATGTGACAAGCAAACCAAGTCCGCACTTTCCCCCCACCAAGTCACAATGTTCTTATCATTGTGCTAGGTTCTGTGAGAGGAGCCAAGAAAAGTAAAGGATGCTGTAACCCACCTTTATCTTTAGATCCATAATGCCCTATTATCTCTCATCTTTATTAAAGGACAGCTTTCGCTTAGAAAGTACGTGGTCTTTTCAGGAACTATCAGCTAAAACATCGCACAGAAAACAAGATCAAAGAGGGGTCTTTTAGTGACAAGATTAAAGTAGAACAGGACTCTCTCTTGGCCCTTTGAGCCTGGCTCACCCAAGGCTGCCACAGTTTAGGCCCATGGTCTGCCATTCTGGAATACTGCAGCTGTGTTGCTGTTATTTCTGGTGTGAAAAGAGCTGCAGCAAAAGCACCGCTGCCTCCTCAGGGACCCAGATGTGGAGATAATGGGCCAGCTGTGCAGAGTTATGTCATCACCACTTGGCAAAGCTTCCCAAAGCAAAAGCACAAGACTGTGTCACTGGGCAGGGAACAGAGCAGGGATCTTCTCTTTTAAGATGTAGCAAGTTGGCTATAGTAGTATGTACCATGAGTAGTTCCAAATCTCCCAATTCTCTTATAGATATGATGTAACTCAGTCCCAGCCCAAGGGAAATGGTGACCATAAATAAACAACGATCAATTATTAATAGAATGTTTTGACAACTCCCACATAGTAGCAGTTTACCTGCTGCAAGTATGGTTTTGCTTTGGATATTCAGATTATCTATTTAATGCACATTAAACATAAGGTTGGCCCCTAGTATTCACACAAAAATACCCACAACCAAGAGCTGTGGCAAACACAGATGCCATGCCCACAGCTTCAGGAGAGCACAAGGAAGCTTCTAGGGCAAATTCCTAGTAGGACGTTCAGAGCAATAAACAAAACAAGGTTAGATTTTGCAGTATATTGCAGGCTAGGACCCACAGACAGTAGGTGTCTTTGTTGTCTGTTGATTATAACAGAATATCTAAAACTGTATAATTTATAAAGAAATGGAATTTATTTCTTACAGTTACGGAAGCTGAGAAGTCCAAGGTCAAGGGGCTGCATCTGGTGAAGACCTTCTTGCTGGTGGGAACTCTCTGTAGAGTCCCCAGGTAGCACAGGGCATCACGTGATGAGGAGGCTGAGCATCCTATCTCAGGTCTTTCTTCCTCTTCTTGTAAAGTCACCAGTCCCACTTCCATAATAACCCATTAATCCATGAATGGGTTAATCCATTCATGCGGGCAGACCCCTCATGATCCAATCACCTCTTAAAGGCCTCATCTCTTAATAATGCCAATTGGGGATTAAGTTTCAACATGAGTTTTGAAGGGAATATTCAACCACAGCAGTAGGAAAGATTAAGAAATATCAAATAATTGGAAACATAGTGTAATGGAAGGGAATATACACTTTGGGAGAGTTGGAATAATACCTTTTGGTGTTAAACAAGTATCACATACAGGAGATATGGGGTACCTCAAAAACAGGGGACACTTAAAGTCATAGTCAAACTTAGGAAATTATTCCTGGCTGGTACTTTAGAGGTCACATGCCATGAACATAACAATGAATGACTTCCCCCAAATCCCATCCATCCCATGTATGATCCCATCCGCATACATGGAAAACAAGAAACTGACTGAAAACAGCACTGTCAAGCAACTTACCTTGTATGAAGATCCTATTCCAGTAGGTTTTCCCAACCTCATTGCCCCCAAGAAATACCAGGTTGGACAGGATCAGCATCGAGGTGGAACAAGAAGCAAGGGCAGCGTGGAATCGACGGCGAGCTTGTGGGGAGAAGTATCGGGCCTACGGGAAAAATGGCAAGAAAGCATCTCATGACAAGGGTGGAAAAAATGGGGCTAAGATACCATCCAGCTTTCTCTGTCACCAGCCCAGGACGCCTCCCCACAGAGCCCAAACCAGGTCATTATTTAAACAGCTCTCAAAACTTCAATTCCTGTCTGGGCGTGGCAGCTCATGCCTATAATCTCACACTTTGGGAGGCCAAGGTGGGAGGATCACTTGGGCCCAGGAGTTCAAGACCAGCCTAGGCAACATAGTGATATACCATCTCTACAAAAACAATTTAAAAATTAGCTGGGCATGGTGGCATATGACTGTAGTCCCAGCTACTCGGGAGGCTAAGGTGGGAGGATTGCTTCAGCCCGGGAGTTCGAGGCTGCAGTGAGCCATGATCACACCACAGGACTCCAAGTCTGGGTGACAGAACAAGAGCGTGTCTCGAAACAAAACAAAAGTGTACTCTTGCACCATGTTCATTCTACCCTAAGGAAAGAAGTGACATACCCCAAGTTGTTTCTTTGAGGTGGAACAAAATGCGAGGGCTTCCCTCTGACATGTGGAATACAAGCACTGAAGCCAGTTAGGATTTAGCAGCCCTCCCACCTCCACTTGCTTTCTGCATGTAAACCTACAGGTGCAAGAACTTCAAACTGCTGTCTGTGATAACTAGTATATATAGCTCCATGGAATTAGGTCAAGATCAGCATGATCCCCTGGGCCAGTTACACTGACCCTGGGAAGCCATCCAACCACCCCCTAAACCTGACATGCTATTAAGAGCAATCTCATAATAAGAGTGTAGGACAATGAGTGTGAGCCGAGCCTACTGCTGGAGTCAGAGCTCAGGCCCACACTTCACCCGCAGCACACGTCGGCACTGAGGATGAAGTGTATCGGCGTGCCTGAAATACTCAAGGCTGGAGGGGTGTTTTACAGCATCACAATAAAGAATTCCACTTGTCCTTCCTAGCTCTTTATTGCACTTCTCCTTTTAAGATTTTCCCAGGGATTTCATAAAGCAAACAAAGCCTTTATCCTGACTGTTCTGGGAGCCCCTCTGAGTGAGGTCGCTGTGCTGGAGTGTGCGAGCCCTATCAGCACATGCACGGGGACCACCCCAAGGGACCGTGTGTTCAGAATGAGAACCAGGTACAGCACAGCAGCGGGACATGCAGGGGCCCAGGGTATCTGATAAGCACCTCCGCCTAATCCACAGACACAGAGAAAGAGGGAGCAAAGGGTCTGGAGATATTTCCTGAATATCCTCCAGAAACCCACACATCTCTAGGGTCACGTGCACCCTAATTTCAGCTGCGTTCCAATTACAAACAGAACTCGGAATGACTCAATGACAGCAGCCGATGCAATTCATGACAGGCAAAAAGGACTAAATTGGAGGGCGAGTCTTCAGCAAGAGGCTTACTTATTATGCGGCCCTACTGTGAATCTCCTGTGACTGCTTTGGCATCATGGTCAGTGTCCTCTCCATCTAGAGAAATGAATTTCTGACTCCTCCTGTTCTCTCCTGCCAGCCCCAGGGTCTGTTCTTAACTCTCAGATCTGGCTGCTACCCTCTGTCACCCCATCTCCCCACCCACGGCTCTCTGCTCCAACATCACTGTGGAACGTGCTTTTACTGCTGCCAGACGCAAGTGTGGCCTGCTCACAGAGAAGCTGTGCAGTGGACAGTGAGATGTCTGCCCGATCATGGTTGTTCTGGAATGCTCTCCAGTGATGTAGGGTGTCTCTACTTAGAGGCCACCAGGCAAGATTACCTCTAGTCTTGCCCCTGCTCTAGGAGGCCACAGGCACGTACAAGAGGACACTGTCAGACAAGACCTGGTACGAGATAACTACATGGTGTGAAAACTGTTAATGAGAGAGAAATGGGGAAGGAGCAGGCTTATTATTCAGCACTCTTCACCTCTGAGAATAATGGGACATTAATCTACCACTTTCTGCATTCTAAAGCAGAGGAAGATATTTTCTGGGTATTACTGACTCAACTAGCAGTAACTAGGGAGGCAGGGTGAGAGGAAGTTGGGAGACAGAGGAAGATCCAAAATGGATTAAGAAAATATGAATTGTCTTAATTGACATAAATACGTCCAAGTAATTCTCTCCAGATACTGCGGTTACTAACAAGACATTTGATTCCTAAGGGATCCACTGAGTCTGACACTCCACCACTTCTGTTCTAACCCCATCAGTCTCCCCCAGCCTCACATCCTGAGAAGGGAACACAAAGGCCCTGTGTGATTTTTCCTTTGTTAACGTCAACTACCGAGAGTGCACATAGCTTGTTAAGCTAAGTGGCTCTTCTTTTGTAGGAAGTGATTACAAGTATTAAATAATCAACAGAGGTACTGAGAGAGGAAGACTCTCTTTGCCTGGGGCTGCTAAGCAGGACTGTGGAGCTGATACTTGGGGCAGGGTAAGGACTGGACACAGCAGGAGGAGGAGCTGAGGGCCAAGGGAGGTAAGAACAGACAGCGTGTATTGGAGGCATAGGACTCCTCTGTCCAGCCCTGAGGCCCCAGCTCCTACCGTGCTTCCTTTGATTCTGTGACTACCCCCATATTCTAAGCTACATGGTTCCATAAATTCCTATATCTACTTAGGAAAAAAAAAAAAAGTCAAAATCATACCAACTGTGAAGGAGCTGCTGATCTCAGAGATAGGAAGGAGAGGGGGGGCAACTAAAATCTGAAATGAATGACTACAATTCAATTTTATAAATGTTTTTTAAAAATTTAGAAATTAAAAAAAAATTTAAATAAGCAAGAATGTTAAAGCACAGCCTGTTAGAATCAAACTAAAAGGATTTAAAGGAGAAATCAAGATGCCCATAGGCAATTCTTGATTATCCCCCAGGGTGAGTGGGTAGGAGACAAAATAGACGATGATCAAGGAATCCAAAAACCTAATTTTAACCAACAGCCTCATCCTCTGACAAAACTAGCCATGCCAATAAGCAGCAAAATGAACAGAGCATTGTTCATTTTCACAGTGAAACAGTGGGGAAAAAGAATGATGGGCTACAGGAAAGGAAAAGGGGGTGGGATCTGTCAGGTTCATCCACAAGAGGGTAATAACTAACAGCAAAGGGGACAGGAGTCTCAGCTGCAATCCATCTCTCCTCTTTGCATTCTCTGGACATTTTGGAAGGTGATGGTTTTGACATCAGGGATCTCTCTCTCCACCTTGGGAACCTCCTGGCTCAGCTACTGGTTTATAGGAGCTCTCGGGGTAAGTTCCCAGGAGGAAACAGGTCATATGGACAAAATTAGAGGGTATATTCCCTTTGACCAGCCAGCTACATCAATAAATCTAACTTTCGGAATCTCTAGGGCCACAGGGCCAAAGCCTCCACTTTAAAGGCTTTTTCTCTTACACTCTCCTTTCCATAGTCCTACAGCGATTACCCCTGTGGTCCTTCATCACCGGGATGCAAGCCTCACGAGTGGGAGGCATGCCTCATGTGTTAAGTCACCATCCTCATGGCTTAGATACTTGAAAACTCCCTTGACAAGAGAATTCATGTTGAAGAATTATAAACGAAATGGGGGAATACCAGAAGACAGTGAAAAGCCATCAGGTATGACAAAGAGAGTTGCCAAGTTCATCAGCTAAGGCAATAATGGACAAATAGAATTTGATTTTCATTAATAGGAATTTATCAGGATAAAAGAGAGCTCTGGTCTGGTCCCGGTCTCTTCTCAGAGTGTTGATTAGTCTGTAGCAATCTGATTTCCTGGCAGCAAAAAATGAGAGTGGCACTATCCCCCAGGAGATGTTTGAAAAGTTGCTGGGCATGTTTGGTTGTCTCAATGACTACAAGGCAATGTGGCATTTGGTGGGCAGGGGCCAGGGATAATAAGCGCACGGCAATGTGCAGGACGGAGCCGTCCTGCCCAAAAGGTCAGCAGAGCCCTGTTGAGAAAGGGCGAATTGTTCTCCCCTACATTCATCACAGAGCAGGGTTCTTGCTTGGTCTATGGGGGCATTAGGAGTAATGCCAAAAATGCACCCCCTTTCCTCTGAGACCCAGAGAAATGCATCCCAGGGCAGGGAATGTTCCTTCACAGTATTCAACCACCAGGCCCCTCCTATCCTGCCCACCATGTGTCATCACATGGAGAGTGAGGAGGAGCCTCCTGTGCCCCCGGCCACAGACAGGCAAGGTGTAGCCGCCAATTCCAAGCTTCCTCCCCTGACACTCCTGAAATCCAGAAGAAAGAGGAAGAATGGGAGGTGGGGCTCATTAGAATCACTTTGTTCTCAGGCAGGGGTGACCAGTTGTCCACATGGTCTCTACGGTACATGACAGGGGGTGGGTCGGGGCAGTTTCTCTCCCTGTGAATGTGAATATACCCACTCTTCAGGTGCAAGGGCAGGTGCTAGACTTTTGGCCTGGTTACAGCAAGCCCCTCAGAACACTGGCCTAGGGCAGACCTCCAATTCCTCTGAGTAGTTTGCCTGTGATCCAAGAGACTAAGATGAGATGGAGGAATGTCACGACAACACTCAGCTATGGCAACACTTGGCTTTAAACTTCCGTCTAAGACACTGACTTCCAAAGGGAAGGACTGCAACCCAAACCAACTAAACCTTAGGGCTAAACTAAACTTACGTCAAACTCGTTTGTACTTCCAGGTGTGAGGTGTCCATGGCTTCCTGTGTATATTCAAATCTCCATGGCAACTCATCCCTCTTTTCCAGGCAGCATCCTTTCCCTGGAAATCACAGGATTGGTGGGAGCAAACAAGCCGGGGATGGGGGGCTGCAGGAACGTGGGTCAAAACAAAACTAGAAACATACATGGGGAAGGGAGGCAGATGACACAGTCGGGCTGGAGGCTGTGGGCTTGCCAGCCCCTCACTCATCCACAGAGGGGCTGCATGTGGGGCTGAGACGGGAGGTGGGGACAGGCTGAGCATCTGGAGGAGCAGATGGCCGGAGGAATGGCTGCTGGAGACTGTGACAAAGGCTTGGCAAGTGGGACCTGATGCTGCTTATTTTTAAGTGGTGGAGAAGCTAAAAACAGAAACTGGGTGGGTTTGAGCAGCTGGACACAGTTCTTCCATATAATCACTGAAGTTTTCCATTTTCTAATAAAAATGCTAACCAGAGGGTAAGAGAGGATGAAAAAGGCAATGGCAAGGGAGGGGTTGGTGGACACCAGAGAGAGCAAATGAGGGGTGAACACCCCACAGACTGTAAAGATGAGGCCAGGGACAACAAGAGACACAATTATAACTCTCAAGAAAGAGAAGAACGGCCACAGTGACACACTGAAAGTCAGGAGGACTCAGATTCCAAAGTCATTCCAAGGCCCATGTCCCATCTCTGTGCCAACCTGTAGGACATGTTTCCCCTTCTCAAAATATTCAGTCATTTTCAGCTAGAAGTCTGTGTTTCACCAGTTTCCCCTCTTTCATGTTCCTACCAGCATAGTAGGTTCCTCAAGGATAGGGCAGGACCGTTTCTCAACTACACAGCATCCAAGAACCACGCATATCCTATGTGTGCTCAATGATTAGCTATCACCCATCTCGCTCTTTGCCCTAAATAAGTTACAGAATCTCCTGAGTTCCTTAATGTTCTATCCCACCTTATATCCAAGCTGAATGAATACATGAAGAGCCTTTGAAAGCAATACCTCCTCCTTCCTTCAAGTGTACAGAGCTTCAAACAACATCAGGTCAATGCAGTTATATTTTCCGAACTCTGTGTGCATACTCCTGAGAGAGAATCAAATACCTGCAGCAATGAAGGCAAAGCCAGATTTGTTTAATTGGACAAGTTACCTTCCTCATAGTTTAGATGTCCAGCTTAGTTTAAAAACTGCAGAGGCCAAAGTTTAGCATTTAAATCCATGCAGTACATGCAAGAATTTCAGAGTACTTTCAAATAACTAAGGAAACAACTGGCTCTGTCTAGTTAGAGAACTTAAGCCATGTTTGGGGTGCCTGGGTTCCTGCTAAAAGTTCCAGATTGAGCAATAGTACCGCCTCACCCTGAGTTCTTACTTTTCCACTGCCATGGCTCCACCTCCAGTCTGCATATCTCTGCTTCAAGTTTTCCAGAAGCCTCAATTTCAACTGACTGGTCATACTCTAGCCTTCCTCTCTCTACTTCATCAAGCACATTATGTGCCTCTACTCTGCAAAATGCTTTGATATTTCTTCACTGCTTAGAGACTGAAATCCAAAATAGGAAGGCATTTTAAACTGGATCCCATTTTATTTCCTAATCTTAACTCTCACCACTTTTTATCAATGACATGGCTGTCTTCAGTGTTCCCCAAACATAACATGGGCTTCCATATTTCTGTGACTTAGCAAAAGCTGTTCTCTCTACTTTGAATGCATCTTCCTTATTCTTCAAGCCCCAGCTTAATGTCAGCTCAGGAGAGCAACAGCTTTGGACCAGCCCAACTTAGGTTTAGGTTCTATATTTCCATCTTCTACCTGTGTTGCCCAGCACATGCTGAGGCTCTTCATTTACCTAATTCACAATTGGCATTTGATAAATGTAGATCATCCCAATCCTAGCAAAGTCAGTCACCCAATTTCTGTGTTTCTATAACCCATGGGCTAGACAATATCAATCTATGTTTTAGATAAATACAGCTTGTGATGCAAAAAATTCACTGTGTGAGCAGCTTTACTTATACTGTAAAGTAGGTAAAAACTATTCATATTTTACAAATGAAGAACTAGAAGAGCAGAGAGATTAAGTAACTTACCTGAATTATATACCGATAAGTGCAGTGCAAGAATTCACATACGTTTCTCTAATTGAATATCTTCATGCTCCTACTACATTACACAACTTCATATTTGTGTGGCAGTGCGGATTCCCTTCTCTCAACTGCAACCTTCAAGATCTTTGCCTCTTGAGTGCCATACACAAAGTGGATTTTCAAGAAATGTTTGTTCAACAAATATGTCGTGCATGTATCCCACTAACAATGGTTGGCAGATACCAACTGTCGATTTCAAATGCCATATGTCTTCAAGAACATATGGCTTACAGTGACACTGGAATTTTTAAAAGTAACTGGGATCCACAAGTATAGTAGGAGATTTAGCAAATCTCCCCAGAAAATGACATCTAACAGAGCAAAATAAAAAATATAAAATATCTGCATAAAAATTAATAGGCCCTGGGGGAAAAGGGGGTGTTGGAGAGATGTTGGCTGGTCAAAGGATTCAAAATTTCAATTAGATAGGAGGAATAAGTTGAAGTAATCTATTGTACAACACAGTGACTATATAGTTAATAACAATATGTCATATTCTTGAAAATCACTAAGAGAGTAGATTTTAAGTGTTGTCACCACAGAAAATAAGTGAGGTAGTGCATGTTAATTTGCTTAATTAAGCCATTCCACAGGTATACACATTTCAAAATATGTTTTGCCCAATACATCTTTGTGTGTCATTTAAAAATTTTTAAAGTGGGGGGCAGTTCCAAGATGGCCGAATAGGAACAGCTCCAGTCTACAGCTCCCAGCGTGAGTATAGCAGAAGATGGGTGATTTCTGCATTTCCAACTGAGCTTTGAAGAGAGTAGTGGTTCTCCCAGCACGCAGCTTGAGATCTGAGAACAGACAGACTGCCTCCTCAAGTGGGTCCCTGACCCCCGAGTAGCCTAACTGGGAGGCACCCCCCAGTAGGGGCAGACTGACACCTCACACGGCCAGGTACCCCTCTGAGACGAAACCTCCAGAGGAACGATCAGGCAGCAACATTTGCTGTTCAGCAATATTCGCTGCTCTGCAGCCTCCACTGCTGATACCTAGGCAAACAGGGTCTGGAGTGGACCTCCAGCAAACTCCAACAGACCTGCAGCTGAGGGTCCTGACTGTTAGAAGGAAAACTAACAAACAGAAAGGACATCCACACCAAAACCCCATCTGTACGTCACCAACGTCAAAGACCAAAGGTAAATAAAACCACAAAGATGGGGAAAAAACAGAACAAAAAACTGAAAATTCTAAAAATCAGAGTGCCTCTCCTCCTTCAAAGGAATGCAGCTCCTCACCAGCAATGGAACAAAGCTGGACGGAGAATGAATTTGATGAGTTGAGAGAAGAAGGCTTCAGACGATCAAACTTCTCCGAGCTAAAGGAGGAAGTTCGAACCCATCGCAAAGAAGTTAAAAACATTGAAAAAAGATTAGACGAATGGCTAACTAGAATAACCAATGCAGAGAAGTCCTTAAATTTACAAGAACTCAAACAAATTTACAAGAAAAAAACAACCCCATCAAAAAGTGGGTGAAGGATATGAACAGACACTTCTCAAAAGGAGACATTTAATGCAGCCAAAAGACACAGGAAAAAATGCTCATCGTCACTGGCCATCAGAGAAATGCAAATGAAAACCACAATGAGATATCATCTCACACCAGTTAGAATGGCGATCATTAAAAAGTCAGGAAACAATAGGTGCTGGACAGGATGTGGAGAAATAGGAACACTATTACACTGTTGGTGGGACTCTAAACTAGTTCAACCATTGTGGAAGACAGTGTGGTGATTCCTCAGGGATCTAGAACTGGAAATACCATTTGACCCAGCCATCCCATTACTAGGCATATACCCAAAGGAATATAAATCATGCTGCTATAAAGACACATGCACACGTATGTTTATTGCGGCACTACTCACAATAGCAAAGACTTGGAACCAACCCAAATGTCCAACAATGATAGGCTGGATTAAGAAAATGTGGCACATATACACCATGGAATACTATGCAGCCATAAAAAATGATGAGTTCATGTCCTTTGTAGGGACATGGATGAAGCTGGAAACCATCATTCTCAGCAAACTATCACAAGGACAAAAAACCAAACACCGCATGTTCTCACTCATAGGTGGGAATTGAACAATGAGAACACTTGGACACAGGAAAGGGAACATCACACACTAGGGCCTGTTGTGAGGTGGGGGGAGGGGAGAGGGATAGCATTAGGAGATATACCTAATGTAAATGATGAGTTAATGGGTGCAGCACACCAACATGGCACATGTATACATATGTAACAAACCTGCACATTGTGCACATGTATCCTAGAATGTAAAGTATAATAAATATATATTTAAAAAATTTTTTAAAGGAAAACAATAGAACGAGCATCCAAATGAGAAAGAAAGAAGTAAAATGATTTCTGTTCACAGATTACATGTACAAAACCCTAAAAATTCTACCAAAAATTTAAACAAATTCAGCAAAGTTGCAGGATACAAAAATCAATGTGCAAAAAAACAGTTGTGTATCTCTATGTACTAACAATGAGCAACCTGAAAAGGAAATTAAGAAAGCAATTCTATTTATAATGGCATCAAAAAGAATAAAATACTTAGGAATAAACTTAACTAGGGAGGCAAAAAATTTGTATAATGAAACTACAAAACAATGCTGAAAGAAGACATAAATACAAAGATATCCCACGTTCATAGATGGGAGGAATTTTTTTTTTTTTTTTTTTTTTTTTGAGGCAGGGTCTCACTCTGTCTCCAGGCTGGAGTGCAGTAGCACAATCATGACTCACTGCAGCTTAGACTTCCTGGGCTCAAGCAATCCTCCCACCTCAGCCTCCTAAGAAGCTGGGACCACAGGTGTGGCTAATTGCAATTGGCTAATTGTTTGCTTTTTTTTGTAGAGTCAAAGTCTCACTATGCTGCCCAGGCAGGTCTCAAACTCCTGGGCTCAAGTGATCCTCCCACCTCAGCCTCACAAAGTGCTGGAATTATAGGCATGAGCCACTGCACCCAGTTGGGAAGAATATTGTTAAAATAACAATACTACCCAAAGTGATCCACAGATCCAGTATAATCCCTATCAAAATCCCAATGACATTCTTTGGAAAAATAGAAAACCCCACCCTAAAATTCACCTGAGATCTCAAATGGCCCCAACTGGCCAAAACAACCTTGAAAAAGCAGAACAAAGTTGCAGGACACAAACTTCCTGATTTTAACACTTAAAGCTACAATAATCAAAACTGTGTGGTACTGACATAAAGATAAACATATAGACCAATGGAATAGAATAGAGAGACCAGAAATAAACCCTTATATACGGTTAAATAGTTTTCAACAAGGCCAAATGATCCTCAACAAGGGCAGAAAGAGCATTTAATGAGGAAAGAACAGTCTTTCCAACAAATGGTTCTGGAAAACCTGGATATACACATGCAAAAGAACGAAACTGGACCCTTATACCATACACAAAAATTAACTCAAAAGGGTTCAAGTATCTAAAAAGATGAACTAAAACTATAAAACTCTTAAAAGAAAACAGGGGGAGACCTTCATGACATTGGATTTAGCAATGATTTCTTGGCTATGACACAAAAAGCACCATCAACAAAAGTAAAAAGAGATAAACTTGACCTTACCAAATTAACTTTTATTCATCAAATGATACTATTAACAGAGTAAAAAGACAACCCAGGAATGGGAGAAAAGATCTGCAATCACATATTGATAAGAGCTTAATATCCAGAATATATCAAGAACTCCTATAACACAACAACCAAAAAAATCCAACTTTAAAAATGGACAAAGAATTTGAATAGACATTTATCCAAAGAAGATATACAAATGGCCAGTAAGCACAAAAAAGTCATAAAGGAAATGCAAATCAAAACCATGAGATATCACTTCACACCTTCTAAGGTGGCTATATCAAAAACAAAATAACACGTGTTGATGAGGACATGAAGAAATCTTAAGCCCTACGTATTGCTGGTGAGAATGTAAAATGGTAGAGCCACTGTGGAAAACGGTATATAGGTTTCTCAAAAAATTAAACACAAAATTGCCATATGATCCAGCAATTTCATTTCTAGGTATATACAAAAAAGAACTGAAAGGGACTCAGACATATATTTGTACACCAGTGTACACAGCAGTATTATTCACAATAGGCAAAAGGTGGAAGCAACCCAAATGTCTATCAATGGATGAGTGAGTAAACAGAGTAATATATACATAAAATGGCATTTTAGCCTTAAAAAGGCAAGAAGTTTTGATGTATGCCACAACATGAATGAACTCTGAAGACATTATGCTAAGTGAAATAAGCCAGACACAAAGGGACAAACATTGTATGGTTGCATTTATATAAGATACCTAAAACAGTCAAATATATAGAGACAGAAAGTAGAATAGTGGCTACTAGGGACTGAGAGAGGAGAGGATGAGAGGTTTCAGATTAGGATGATGAAAAAGTTCTGGAGATTGAGGGTGGTGATGGTTGTAAAACAATACGAATGTTTTTAATACCCCTTAATTGTATACCCAAATGTGGTTAAAATGGCAAATTATATGTTAAGTATACTTTATCACAATGAAAACATTAACAGGCCTTTACCAATAGATACATGGAAGAGTGAATACATGCAGTTTTCAAACGCAGGTGGGCCATAATCAAACTCAACATGTATTAAACCAGGAAAGGAGCCTAAATACATTCTAAGAAGCTATCATGAAGGCCAGCGTCATCCTGATGTCAAAACATGGCAGAGATACAACAAAAAAAGAACACTTCAGGTCAATATCCTTGATGAACATTGATGTAAAAATCCTCAATAAAATACCAGCAAACCAAATCCAGCAGCACGTCAAAAAGCTTATGCACCACAATCAAGTTGGCTTCATCCCTGGGATGCAAAGTTGGTTCCACATACGCAAATCAATAAAGGTGATTCATCACATAAACAGAACTAAAGACAAAAAACCACATGATTATCACAATAGATGCAGAAAAGGCCTTCGAGAAAATTCAACATCCCTCCTTGTTAAAAACTCTCAATAAACTAGGTATTGAAGAAACATACCTCAAAATATAAGAGTGATATATGACAAACCCATAGCCAACATCATACTAAATGGGCAAAAGCAGAAACTGTTCCTCTTGAAAACCAGCACTAGACAAGGATGCTCTCTCTCACCATTCCTATTCAACATAGTATTGGTAGCTCTGGCCAGGGCAATCAGGCAAGAGAAATAAATAAAGCGCATTCAAATAGGAAGAGAGGAAGTCAAATTATCTTTGGAGATGACATGATCCTATCTTTAGAAAACCCCATCATCTCAGCCCAAAAGCTACTTAAGCTGATAAGCAACTTCAGCAAAGTCTCAGCATATAAAAATCATGTGCAAAAATCCCTAGCATTCCTATACACCAACAACAGGCAAGCAGAGGGCTAAATCATGAATTAACTCCCACTAACGATTGCTACAAAAAGAAAAAAATACCTAGGAATACAGCTAACAAGGGAAGTGAAGGACCTCTTCAAGGAGAACTACAAACTACTGCTCAAATAAATCAGTGAGGACACAAGTGGAAGAACGTTCCATGCTCATGGATAGGAATAATCAATATCGTGAAAATGGCCATACTGCCCAAAGTAATTCATAGATTCAGTGTTATTCCCATTAAACTATCATTGACATCATTCACAGAATTAGAAAAAACTATTTTAAAATTCATATGGAACCAAAAAAGAGCCCAAATAGCCAAGGCAAGTCCTAAGCAAAAAGAACAAGTCTGGAGGCATCAGGCTACCTGACTTCAAACTATAGTACAAGGCTACAATAACCAAAACTATGTGTCTGGTACAAGAACAGACACATAGACTGATAGAACAGAATAGAGAACCCAGAAATGAGACCGCATACCTATAATCGTCTGATCTCCAACAAACCTGACAAAAACAAGCAATGGGGAAACAATTCCCTATTTAAAAAATGGTGCTGGGAGAACTGGCTAGCCATATGCAGAAAATTGAAACTGGACCTCTTCCTTATACCATATAAAAAATTAATTCAAGATGGATTAAAGACTTAAATATAAAATCCAAAATATAAAAACCCTAGAAGAAAATCTAGGCAATACTATTCAGGACATAGGCACAGGCAAAGATTTCATGACAAAATCCCCAAAAGCAATTGCAACGAAAGCAAAAATTGACAAATGGCATCTAATTAAACTAAAGAGCTTCTGCATAGCAAAATAAACTATCAGAGTGAACAGACAACTTACAGAATGTGAGTAAATATTTGCAATCTATCCATATGACAAAGGTCTACTATCCAGCATCTATAAGGAACTTAAATAAATCTACAAGAGAAAAACAAGCAACCCCATTAAAAAGTAGGGAAAGGACATGAAAGACACTTCTCAAAAGAAGACACACATGTGGCCAACATATTTTTAAAAAGCTCAACATCACTGATCATTAGAGAAATGCAAATCAAAACCACAATGAGATAGCATCTCATGCCAGTCAGAATGGCAATTATAAAAAAGTCAAAAGAACAGATGCTGGCAAGGTGGCAGAGAAAACAAAACAAAACAAAACACTTTTACACTGTTGGTGGGAGTGTAAGTTAACTCAACCATTGTGGAAGACACTGTGGCAATTCCTCAAAGACCTAGAAGCAGAAATACCATTTGGCCCAGGAATCCCATTACTGGGTATATACCCAAGGGAATATAAATCATTCTATTATAAAGATACTTGCACACGTATGTTCATTGCAGCACTATTCACAATAGCAAAGACATGGAGTCAATCTAAACGCCCATCAATGATAGATTGGACAAAGAAAAATGTGGTATATATACACCATGAAATACTATGTAGCCCAAAAAAGAAATAAGATCACATCCTTTGAAGGGACATGGATGGAGTTGAAAGCCATTATCCTCAGCAAACTAATGCAGGAACAGAAAACCAAGCACCGCATGTTCTCACTTATAAGTGGGAGCTGAATGATGAGAACACATGGACCCATGGTGGGGAACAACACACATTGGGGCCTGTTGAGGGGCTAGGGAGAGGGAAAGCATCAGGAAGAACAGCTAATGGATGCTGGGCTTAATACCTAGGAGACGAGATGATCTGTGCAGCATACCACCATGGCACACATCTACCTATATAATAAATCTGCACATCCTGCACATGTACCCCTAAACTTAAAAGTTGAAAAAATAAAGAAAAAAAGTTACCATAAAAACTATGCTCACTGATAACACTGCAATAAAATAATGAATATCAACAATTTGCAAGAATTAACACACCATTACATTTTTTAAAATTTCACTCATTCAAACCAAAAGTTTTTATTTAAGGAAAAATAAAATGAGTAAACTTTAGCAATTTTTATCAATTAAGACAATTAGGCAAAATAAATAAGAAGATATATAGAAAATTTTTAAATCTTTGGAGATTATATAACAATATATTTGCAGACATAGCTTAAAAATGTAAATTATCTAGAAAATATAAATTACCTAAATTTTGAACAAAAGGAGCAGAAAGTTTGAAAAAGCACAACCATAGTGATATTGTTAGGCTTTGTGTCCCCACACAAATCTCATCTTGAATTGTAATCCCCATAATCACCACGTGTCAAAGAAGAGACCAGGTGGAGGTCATTGAGTCATGGGGCTAGTTTCCCCCATGCTGCTCACATGATAGTGGATTTTCATGAGCTCTGACGGTTTTATAAGGGGCTCTTCCCCCTTCGCTTGGCACTTCCTCTTTTAGCCTTGTGAAGAAGGTGCCTTGCATCCCCTTCGCCTTCCGCCATGATTGTAAGTTTCCTGAGGCCTCCCCAGCCATGTTGAACTGTGAGTCAATTCAGTTTTGTCCCCTCTGGAGGATGCAGC